>NC_000011.10:6726666-7029696 GCF_000001405.40 Homo sapiens
GGTAAAGTCACTATATGATGATAAAATGGTCAATTCAACAAGAAAATTGTATTAATCCTTTTTGCATTGCTATACAGTAAGTAATATCTGAGGCTGAGTAATTTATAAAGAAGACAAGTTTATTTGGGCTCATGGTTTTGCAGACTGTACAAGAAGCATATCGCAACATCTGCTTCTGGTGAGGGCTCAGGAAGCTTCCATCATGGCAGAATCTGAACGGGGAGCAGGCATGTCACATAGTGAGAGGGAGAGCAGGAGTGAGATGCCAGGCTCTTTTAAACAACCAGCTCTTGCATGAACTACTAGAGTGAGAACTCACTCATTACACTGAGGAGGACACCAAAACATTCATGAAGGATCTTCTCCCATGAACTAAACATTCCTCACTATGCCAACCTCCAACACCTGGCATCACATTTCAACATGAGATTTGGAGGGGACAAACATTTAAACTATATCACAGATACAACAATTATAAACCTATATGTACCTAACATTGAAGCTCCTTAGTATATAAAGCAAACATTAATAGATCTAAAGGGAGAAATAGACTGCAATATAATAATAGTGGGGGTCTTCAACACCCTACTCTCAGTAATGGACAGATCATCCAGACAGAAAATCAGCAAAGAAAAAGCAGAGTTAACCTACACATTAGATCTAATAGACCTAAATGACATTTACAGAACATTTCACCACACTTCCGCAGAATGTATATTCCTCTCATTAGCACATGGAATATTCTCTAGGACAGACCACAAGCAATGCCACAAAACCAATCTCAACAAATTCAAAGAAATCAAGATCATATTAAGTGTATTTTCTGACCACAATGAATAAAACTGGAAATAAATAAGAGAAACCTTGGAAACTATACAAACACATGGAAGTTATGTGTTCCTAACTACTGGCTAATGAAGAAATTAAGAAGGAATTTAAATAATTTCTTGAAATAAAGGAAAGTGAAAAGACAACATACCAAAATCAATGGGCTACAGCAAAAGAAGTACTAAGAGGGAAGTTTATAGCAGTAAATGCCTACATCAAAAAAATGGAAAGATTTCAAATAAACAACCTAATAATGCACCTCAGGAAACTAGAAAAACAAGAACAAACCAAAGCTAAAAATAGTAGAAGGAAAGAAATCATAAAGATCAGAGCAAGAATAAATGAAATTGAGGCTAAAAACATACTAGTATAAAAAATGTCTTGAAGAGTTTCCCCAATGTTTTCTTCTGGGAGTTTCATAGTTTTAGGTCTTATATTTAAGAATTGGAAGGGTGGTGAGGGGGATGATGAGGGGTTGGTTAATTTTATGTTATGTTAATTTCACTTCAATAAAGATTATGTAGATTTATACGTAAATAAAGTATATAAAAACAAGGGTAGTAAAACTCAAAATCCATCACTTTCTAATTATTTTCTATAATCTATGTTGCTGAATCCAAGTCTATGTTTTTTTCATTGCATATATGTGTGTGTGTGTAAAGAAGAGAGAGAGGGTATATTATGTAATGATGTGTTACTTTGCGTCTCTCACAATTTTAAGCTGGAGTTGGTAATTTGAAAGTGGCCACAGAGAGGATATTTATGTAATAGAAACAGGCAAATGCTACAAAACAGGAATTTTATTTTCTGAAGAGCTGGTTAAAACATTTACAACACACTCTTGATTGTAATCCTTCATAGTCTTCTCTGTTTCCCCTTGGCTCACTGACTGTAATCCCCAGAAACAGAGATTATGGCTTGTTCAGCTTTGAGTCCTGAAGACAGAACACGGTGCTGGCGATGACTGAGCACTTTTAAGAACTGACCAAAGAAGGTATGTTCTGTAAACTTTCGTATCTTTAGGCTTCCACGTTTCTTTCCTTTACTGCCTGTTTTCTAGTTGATTTGGGAAAATTCCAGCTTTATTCTGAATAAACTAAAGGAAGTTGTCTACATAAATCTTTTCCTAGAGGAAAACAAGAGCCCAGTGATCCAGGAAGCCATCTCCAGCTTGGACAAAGTGACATTTGGAACTGTGGGGCAGAGAGGGAAAGTCAGATGGAGAGTCAGTGACAGCTAGGATTGCTGATCTTTTCCTGCCAGGCATTGCTCTGATCCTTTCCTAAAGTTAGTGTATCCTCAGCTGCAGAGAATGGTTTCTTTCTAGGGACCCTGCTGTGTTCTGCTAAAAACTGGACTCCTTTCTGAGCTATATAGGAAATGTAGACAAAATATTACATGGATACATATTCCATTATCATTAAGGAAAAATTCTGTTCAATTTTTTCTCTACTTTTTCCCCTAGTAAACTAGGCGTGCTCTTTTTTTCGTGATAACACAATGCCAGAGTCGTGTCTCAAAAAAATTAAGTCTTCTCAACGAAAAACTTCTAGTAGAATGGAATCTTAGAAAGATACAGGGAGAAGATTTCCTCTCTTCCTTATATTTACAGAGAAACTTCAGTCCAACTAGAAATATGTCAATTTAAGAACAGTAACAATGAATATTATTCTTATTACTACTATGCAATCTCCGAATGTATGTATAACTGCTAGCTTCTTTTTGTCTCTCTTAATATACATTTCTCCTTGGAAGACTTATTTGAACAAAGGAGTCTTAAAAGTCTCCTGGACTTGGCTGGGCTCGGTGGCTCATGCCTGCAATCCCAGTACTTTCGGAGGCAGAGGTGGGCAGATCACTTGAGGTCAGGGGTTCAAGACCAGCCTGGCCAACATTGTGAAATCCTGTCTCTACTAAAAATACAAAAATTAGCTGGGGGTGGTGGCACACACCTATAAACCCAGCTACTAGGAAGGCTGAGGCAGAAGAATCACTTGAACTTGGGAGGTGGAGGCTGCAGTGAGCTGAGATTGCGCCACTGCACTTCAGCCAGGGCTACAGAGCGAGACTCTGTCTCAAAAAAAAAAAAAACAAAAAAAAAAAACTCTTGGACTTCAGAAATTCTTTCCATGCCCAATGGAAATAACACAATTTCAAAAATAAGACTGAAATTCTGAGTGCTTGTCTTACTTGAGCATTTATTACATCTATATTAAATTTAGAATGGATATCACTGTGTTCTTAAATGGTATGGGTACTATAAGAATATCAAATCAGAAGTGTGTTAGTGACATTTCTTCTTAAAATGAAACGAACAAATGAAGGACTTCGTTAGCTTTTGTGTTTAATAAAGCATCTGAGAGTTTTAAGAACTTAAGTTGGGTACATAACGAACTGAAGGCAGAAATAAAGATGTTCTTTGAAACCAATGAGAACAAAGACACAACATACCAGAATCTCTGGGACACATTCAAAGCAGTGTGTAGAGGGAAATTTATAGCACTAAATGCCCACAAGAGAAAGCATGAAAGATCTAAAATTGACACCCTAACATCACAATTAAAAGAACTAGAGAAGCAAGAGTAAACACATTCAAAAGCTAGCAGAAGGCAAGAAATAACTAAGATCAGAGCAGAACTGAAGGAAATAGAGACACAAAAAACCCTTCAAAAAATCAATGAATCCAGGAGCTGGTTTTGTGAAAAGATCAACAAAATTGATAGACCGCTAGCAAGACTAATAAAGAAGAAAAGAGAGAAGAATCAAATAGACGCAATAAAAAATGATAAAGGGGATATCACCACCGATCCCACAGAAATACAAACTACCATCAGAGAATACTATAAACACCTCTACGCAAATAAACTAGAAAATCTAGAAGAAATGGATAAATTCCTCGACCCATACATCCTCCCAAGACTAAACCAGGAAGTTGAATCTCTGAATAGACCAATAACAGGCTCTGAAATTGAGGCAATAATTAATAGCATACCAACCAAAAAAAGTCCAGGACCAGATGGATTCACAGCCGAATTCTACCAGAAGTACAAGGAGGAGCTGGTACCATTCCTTCTGAAACTATTCCAATCAATAGAAAAAGAGGGAATCCTCCCTAACTCATTTTATGAGGCCAGCATTATCCTGATACCAAAGCCTGGCAGAGACACAACCAAAAAAAAGAATTTTAGACCAATATCCTTGATGAACATCGATGCAAAAATCCTCAATAAAATACTGGCAAACCGAATCCAGCAGCACATTAAAAAGCTTATCCACCATGATCAAGTGGGCTTCATCCCTGGGATACAAGGCTGGTTCAACAAACGCAAATCAATAAATGTAATCCAGCATATAAATAGAACCAAAGACAAAAACCACATGATTATCTCAGTAGATGCAGAAAAGGCCTTTGACAAAATTCAACAACGCTTCATGCTAAAAACTCTCAATAAATTAGGTATTGATGGGACATATCTCAAAATAATAAGAGCTATCTATGACAAACCCATAGCCAATATCATACTGAATGGGCAAAAACTGGAAGCATTCCCTTTGAAAACTGGCACAAGACACGGATGCCCTCTCTCACCACTCCTATTCAACACAGTGTTGGAAGTTCTGGCCAGGGCAATCAGGCAGGAGAAAGAAATAAAGGGTATTCAGTTAGGAAAAGAGGAAGTCAAATTGTCCCTGTTTGCAGATGACATGATTGTATATCTAGAAAACCCCATCGTCTCAGCCCAAAATCTCCTTAAGCTGATAAGCAACTTCAGCAAAGTCTCAGGATACAAAATCAACATGCAAAAATCACAAGCATTCTTATACACCAATAACAGACAAACAGAGAGCCAAATCATGAGTGAACTCCCATTCACAATTGCTTCAAAGAGAATAAAATACCTAGGAATCCAAGTTACAAGGGATGTGAAGGACCTCTTCAAGGAGAACTACAAACCACTGCTCAATGAAATAAAAGAGGATACAAACAAATGGAAGAACATTCCATGCTTATGGGTAGGAAGAATCAATATCGTGAAAATGGCCATACTGCCCAAGGTAATTTATAGATTCAATGCCATCCCCATCAAGCTACCAATGACTTTCTTCCCAGAATTGGAAAAAACTACTCTAAAGTTCATATGGAACCAAAAAAGAGCCCGCAATGCCAAGTCAATCCTAAGCCAAAAGAACAAAGCTGGAGGCATCACACTACCTGACTTCAAACTATACTACAAGGCTTCAGTAACCAAAACAGCATGGTATTGGTACCAAAACAGAGATCTAGACCAATGGAACAGAAGAGAGCCCTCAGAAATAATGCTGCATATCTACAACTATCTGATCTTTGACAAACCTGACAAAAACAAGAAATGGGGAAAGGATTCCCTATTTAATAAAAGGCTTTGGGAAAACTGGCTAGCCATATGTAGAAAGCTGAAACTGGATCCCTTCCTTATACCTTATACAAAAACTAATTCAAGATGGATTAAAGACTTAAATGTTAGACCTAAAACCATAAAAACCCTAGAAAAAAACCTAGGCAATACCATTCAGGACATAGGCATGGGCAAGGACTTCATGTCTAAAACACCAAAAGCAATGGCAACAAAAGCCAAAATTGACAAATGGGATCTAATTAAACTAAAGAGCTTCTGCACAGCAAAAGAAACTACCATCAGAGTGAACAGGCAACCTACAGAATGGGAGAAAATTTTTGCAATCTACTCATCTGACAAAGGTTTACTATCCAGAATCTACAAAGAACTCAAACAAATTTACAAGAAAAAAACAACCCCATAAACAAGTGGGAGAAGGATATGAACAGACACTTCTCAAAAGAAGACATTTATGCAGCCAACAGACACAGGAAAAAATGCTCATCATCACTGGCCATCAGAGAAATGCAAATCAAAACCACAATGAGATACCATCTCACACCAGTTAGAATGGCGATCATTAAAAAGTCGGGAAACAACAGGTGCTGGAGAGGATGTGGAGAAATAGGAACACTTTTACACTGTTGGTGAGACTGTAAACTAGTTCAACCATTGTGGAAGTCAGTGTGGCGATTCCTCAGGGATCTAGAACTAGAAATACCATTTGACCCAGCCATCCCATTACTGGGTATATACCGAAAGGATTATAAGTCGTGCTGCTGTAAAGACACATGCACACGTATGTTTATTGTGGCACTATTCACAATAGCAAAGACTTGGAACCAGCTCAAATGTCCAACAATGATAGACTGGATTAAGAAAATGTGGCACATATACACCATGGAATACTATGCAGCCATAAAAAACGATGAGTTCATGTCCTTTGTAGGGACATGGATGAAGCTGGAAATCATCATTCTCAGCAAACTATGGCAAGGACAAAAAACCAAACACTGCATGTTCTCACTCATAGGTGGGAATTGAACAATGAGAACACATGGACACAGGAAGGGGAGCATCACACACCGGGGTCTGTTGTGGGGTGGGAGGAGGGGGGAGGGATAGCATTAGGAGATAAACCTAATGTTAAATGATGAGTTAATGGGTGCAGCACACCAACATGGCACATGTATACATATGTAACAAACTTGCACATTGTGCACATGTACCCTAAAACTTAAAGTATAATAATAATAAAAAAGAATTTAAGTTAATGGAGAGACAAAGAAGAAGAAATAGCCTCTGACATTGCAAAAATATGCTTATCACATGTTGCCTTAGTGGGCTTTGTTTTTCTTACTGTCAGGGAAGGAGCAGATGGGGATTTTGATGAAAGAGTTACTGAAATTGAATGTCTCTTCTTTTTCCCACAAAGTTTTGAGTTTACTCTGTTTCTGGGCATGACTACTATTCACTTCATTTAATTGAGAAACTATGAAATCATAATTAAATATAAAGGGCTCAGAGGTGAAAGGCAAACAAGAGCTGTTGTTCAGGTAGCTTTGCCCATAATAGACAAGGAAAATGAGAGCTTTGGGTTAGATGGGCAGTTGCAGAGGCAACCATGGTTTCTTCTCTATGAGACCACATAGTGTCATGGGAAGGAAACCAGATTTACAGTTCTCTGTCTGCTCTTTACCACCTGTGTGATCTTGAGTTCGTTACTCACCATCTGTGATTATTTATCTTTTTTCTATATTAAAATGGCCACTATCAAAACCATTTCTTATTAAGATGATCAAATGACATGTTTTAGTTTTCTATTGCTGTGTAGCAAATTACCATAAACTTGAGGGTTTAAAGACACACATTTATTATCTCACAGTTTCTATAAGTCAGAAGTCCAGGCATAGTGTAGTTATGTTCTCTGCTTTAAGAGCTCACCAGATTTTAATCTAGGTGTTTGCTGAGGATGTGGTCTCATCAAAGGTTTGAGCGGTGCTATGGTTTGAATGTTTGTCTGCTCCAAAACTCATGTTGAAATTTGGTTCCCACCGTGGTGGTATTAGAATATGAGAATTTTGGGAAGCAAAAGGGCCATGAGGGCTCTGCCTTCCTATGTGGGATTAATGCTCTTATAAAAGAGTGAGTTTGGTCTTCTTTTTCCTCTGTGCTCTTCTGCCATGTGAGGACATGTTGTTCCTCTCTGTTGGAGGATGTTGCAAGAAGGCCATTGTCAGATGCTGGTGGCTTTATCTTGGACTTCCCAGCCTGCAAAACTGTAAGAAAATAAATTTCTATTCTTTATAAATTACCCAGTCTCAGGTATTCTATTATAACAGCACAAATGGACTAAGACAGCAGGGTAAAGATCTGTCTTCAAGCTTTCTAAGGTTGTTGGCAGAATTCATCTTATAATTATAGGATTGAGGTCCCTATTTTCTTGTCTAGAGGCCATTCTCAGCTCTCAGAGGCTGCCCATAGTTCTTTGCCACATGATATTCTCCATTGCCACATGCTATTCTCCACAGGCCTTCTCTAAATATGGTGACTTGCCTTTTCAAAGCCAGCATGGAGGAACTTCTTGTCCTCATCTGCTGGAATGGTGGCTTCTAAAATGTAACGTGATCATGGGAGTTAGATCCTGTCATCTTTGCCATATTCTATTAGCTAAAAGCAAATCACAGGACCCACTTAGACTCAAGAGAGAAAATTACATAAATATGTGGACACCAGGACATGGGAACCTTAAGATCTGCTTACCACAATCTACCATCTGGCCCCTAGTGATTCATGTCCCTCTCACATAAATAAATTTATCCCCTTTGATATGGTTTGGTTCTGTGTCCCCAACCAAATCTCATCTTGAATTGTTATCCCCACGTGTCAAGGGAGGGACCCAGTGGGAGTTGATTGGATCATGGAGGTGGTTTCCCTCATGCTGTTCTCATGATTGTGAGTGAGTTCTCATGAGATCTGATGGTTTTATAAGTGCAGTTTCCCCTGTTCTTCTCTCTCCTGCTGCCACGTAAGACCTGCCTGTTTCCCCTTCTGCCATGATTGTAAGTTTCCTGAGGCTTCCCCAGCCATGCAGAACTCTGAGTCGATTAAACCCTTTTTCTGTATAAATTACTGTGTCTTGGGTATTTCTTTATAGCAGTGTAAAAACAGACTACTATACCCCTTATCAGTTCTGAGAGTGTCATCCCACTATGAATTACTTGACCTCTAAAATTTCATTATTTAAATTAAGTCCAGGCATGGATTAAACTCCTAGGTGTAATCTGTTAAGTATACCTTCTGGGGAAGTGTTGGTCTCCATCTACAGACTGGTGAAACTAAAGATCCAAGTTATCTGTCTCCAGTATACCTAACATACAATGATGGGACAGACATAGGATAAAAGCTATGGGCGTTTTAGTTCAAAAAGGGGGAAAATAGAAGTTTAAAAATGTGTCACTTTTTCATAATAATCTTGAAATCCAGCTGGGAAAGCTATAGTTGGCATTCCTTTATTACGTTTCAAGATCTGAATGTAATTTTCTATGGTTCCTAGTTTTACTCTCTGGGTTCTTAATTCTGCCGCCTGAGTCATCCTTCCTTTTTCATGAAAGGTAGCATGTGTTCACAGCTGAGTAGTTTTATTAGCCTTCTTCCTGCCAGTAGGATTTTTTTTGGGGGGAGGCATCTAACAGCCTCTTTTCATTCTGTACTCTCTTTGTCTTTCAGTTTAAGTGGCAGTGTTTCTGCTGAACTAAGTTTTCAAGAACATGTGGGT
The DNA here is from genome assembly GCF_000001405.40 of Homo sapiens. Lineage (NCBI taxonomy): Eukaryota > Metazoa > Chordata > Mammalia > Primates > Hominidae > Homo > Homo sapiens. The sequence continues at coordinate 6,735,649 of NC_000011.10, forward strand.
CTTTGATGTATTACAGTGGAGTTTATTAGAAAAAAGCCACATTTAAAGACCGTTTTCAGATAAACCCTTCCATACTTTGGCCTTCTGCTGAGAAGGGGAAGGGACAGTGCCCTAAAGCTTCCAACTAGGGGACTTTGTGTTGGATTGATGTCTGGGAGGCAAACTCTGATTCTCTTAAAAGAACACTTTATGTGCCTGATTAATCTAAACTTTTTATATTTCTGATTTTTCAGCAAAGGATTATACAGTCATACCCAGCAGAGATTCATGATGGAGTCTCTCAATTGTAGTGTGTTTTGCCTTTTGGAGAGGCTGAGAATTTCAAAATTATGGAGTCCTGGTTTCTTTTTATCTAATAATTCTTTTCTCAAATTTATCTTTCACCTCTCACATTTTATTACAAGCTGAAAGAAGAAATCAGGAGAAATCTTCAACACTTTGCCTGGAAGTCTCTTTAACTATAACCAAATTTGTTACTTACAGGTTCTGATTTGTATGTAACTCCAGGAAATAATTTTGCTAGGTCATTCTGCCACTATATAAGAAGGATCCTTTTCCTCCTGACTCCAATAGCATGTTCTTTACTTTCTTCTGAGCCTTCACTGCAGTATCCTTAAATTCTAGATCTCTACTAATAGTCCATCCAGGGCAATTTAGACTTTTTCTATCATGTTCCTCAAAATTATTCTAGCCTGCTCCCACTTCCCAATTCCAAAGCTGTTTCCATGTTTTTTAGGTTTTTGTTATAGCACCACTCAACTTCTAGAAACTAGAAATCTCTATTATTTTTATATTGCTGTGTAACAAATTACCACAAACTTAGTATCTTAAAACAATACATCTCTATCATAGTTCCTGTCAGAAGCTCTGGCATGACTTAGCTGGGTCCTCTGCTTGGGGTCTCACAAGGCTGCAATCCAGGTGTTAACTGAGCTGTATTCTCATGCAGAGGCTTGGCTGGAGAAAAACTGCTTCCAGGCTTATGTGTTGGCAGAATTCAATTCGTTGTGGTTGTTGGACTGAGGTTCCCATTTTTTTGTTGGCTGTCATCCAGGGCTGCTCTCAGCTCCTGGAGGCTGCCTACAGTTCCTTACCACATAGCCATCTCCATAGCTCCTCTCACAACACGATGGCTTACCTTTCAAGGCAACTGGAGAGAGAAGTATCTGCCCTAAGGAAGGACTCAGTCTCTTTTTTAAGGGCTTTACCTAATTAAGTCAGGCCTATTCAAGATAGTCTTCCTTGTGGTTAACTCAAAGTCAGTTTGGGACTTTAATTGCCTCTGAAAAACCCCTTCACCTCTGCCATATTACTCAAAAGAAGAGGAGACATTATATAAGGCACAAATCATGGAGCCTGCCTTATCTGTCTGCCAACTAACAAAACAAAAAAAGTGCTTATCCCAGTGTTTGATCTGAAGTAGGGGCTCAATAAATGTTAACTACTTCAGTCGTTTAATTTTTTGAAAATCCCTGCTGAAACTACAGTGTCCATCCCAGTGGGATGTGGGGCTCAAACATGTAAATTCTCATGGAAGGGAAGGAGGACCTAAATGAGGTTACCACTGTCAAGCCAAGAGAACATCTCATTCTCCTAGAGATTACAGAATTTCTTAGAGTTAATGAAAATATATAGAGAGGAGCCATGACTGAGGACCTAGAAGAGCTAACCCAGAGAATTTATATGGAATGTATGTTCATATTGGGTTTCAGGAATTTTTCACTGTGACAAGTTAAAACACAAAGAGGAACAGAGAGTGGGCAGAAAGAAATTGGAGATTAGGAGGCTTAGCAATTGTAGCTGGGCTATTCAGGACATGGAATTCATTTGGTGCTTTCATCTCTTTCTGTCTGATGAAGGCAAAATTGTTGGGATGATTTCTGGTTAAGATTGGCCAAAGTTTGCTGGGCACGGTGGCTCATGCCTGTAATCCCAGGACATTGGGAGGCTGAGGTGGGAGGATCACTTGAGGCCAGCAGTTCGAAACCAGCCTGGCCAACATGGTGAAACACCATCTCTACTAAAAATACAAAAAATTAGCCGGGGGTGATGGCGGGCATCTGTAATCTCAGCTACTCGGGAGGCTGAGACATGAGAATTGCTTGAACCCAAGGCGGGGAGGTTGCAGTAAGCTGAGATTGCGCCACTGCACACCAGCCTGGGCAACAGAGCGAGACTCAGTCTCAAAAAAAAAAAAAAAGGATTAGTCAAGGAACTGAAGTAACTAGGAAGCTAGCAGGTATAGCAGAAAAAAAGTTAGGAAAAGAAGGGCTGCTTGAATAGGATGAACAAGGCCCAAGCACCAGAGAAACCTGCAGGACTGGGGACGGAAACACAGGAAAGAGAGAAGCTCCTCAGATAGGTCTCTCTCCAATCTCCAGGTGACCACAAAGATTTAAAGTAGAATGGCGGACCAGCCACTAGAGGGAGCATTAATACAGTCTTTTGTATTACTGTGTCAAGTTATGATGAAGATATGGAAGGTGACATTGAAAAACAAAGTAATGATCAAGACAGAGGGCCTGAATTAAGGCCAAGCCTTTTTCCTTTGTACTGTAACTTGAAGTTACATACCACAGCTGCAGCCAGGGAATCTGATTCTATTGGGTAACTTTCAGAAGAATCTTCCCATCTCCTGGTACTTCTACTATGAGTTAATAAGAAATATTGGGCATGGGAATTGCTTTAATGTGGAGACTATCATTATTTTGGTGTAGACTGAAGGTAACAGGAGATGCTGTGTCTCTTTTCTGCTAATGTTTTTGGCAAGTCCTGGGTTTGGTTTGGTTTTGTTCTTTTCTCCAAGAAGGGACATTCTTTCCTCAAGGAGATGAAGGTTGTGACCTAGGGAGGTCTCTCTAGCCTTTGAAATCCTATAGCCGTTGACCACCAAGTGGGTTAGGAGGGAACCAAAAAATAGGATACAAACTGCAGTTGCTTTTTCCTTCTAAGGCTTCTATTAAGCTAGAATTCTCAGAGCTGTCATTTCAAGAGAATAGACCAGGACATGTAGGGAGGTGGGAAGAATTTTCAATGATAATTGTCTCTACTGTACAACCCGGTGCATATTTGGACAAACATTGTGTGGCTCTAGGAGGTGGGGAGTCAATGTAGGTCCCACCACACCATCAGACTCTCCTCACTCTGCACTCCACATGAGTAAGCTCTGTGGGGCACTGTGGAAATGGGTCAGAAGAGAGTTTTCAAGATGACTTTCCCTGATGGGAGCTGGCAGCCTTTTGATATGTACCCAATGAAAAATATGATCCATTAGTAATTTGGGAACATCAGTTTGTATCCTAAAGGACACCACTTTTTTTTGTTTTGTTTTGTTTTTAGATGGAGTTTCACTCTTGTCACCCAGGCTGGAGTGCAATGGCACAATCTTGGCTCACTGCAACCTCTGTCTCTTGGGTTCAAGCGATTCTCCTGCCTCAGCCTCTCAAGTAGCTGGAACTACAGGCATGCACCACCATGCCCAGCTAATTTTTTATATTTTTAGTAGAGATGGGGTTTCACCATGTTGGCCAGGCTGGTCTTGAATGTCTGACCTCAGGTGGCCCACCCACCTTGGCCTCCCAAAGTGCTGAGATTACAGGCGTGAGCCACCGCGCCCAGTCAGGATACCACTTTTGATCATCAGGCAAAACAGAAAAAGATTTCAACTTTGAACTAAATATAATTGATATCTAAATATATGAATTAAGTTCCACATTGCTCTAGAGAAATATATCTTTCAACCAAATTAGTTAAGGAACAAGTAAAACTCTAGAGAAAGATACCTTTCTCTAGAGCAATGTGGAAATTAATTCACGTATTTAGTTCTCACCAAAGACTGAGTCCCTGGTAGTTATGAAGCTTACTAAATTGATCTTTACTGAGGATTAATGCAAAAGCATTGACTAGGTGTAGGTAGTGTCAGAACAAACTTTAGTATTTTTTTTTCAGAAGGTAATTATCTTTATAGTTAGGAAATGAAGAAGGAATCCATTCCTTTGGCCAGAGTATCTGGGAGGAAATCCTTTGCAGTTACATAAAAAGTGAACTTTTTTGGTTACAGGAAGGATGTAATAACAAGTAACAGGATTACATCTTTTTCAAGACCATGTTTTCTCATTTCACAGACTTACTGTCTAAAATATACACCTATAAAATGGTGTGTACATCTGAGACTTTTGTATTAGGAACCTGTTCTGATAGTCTCCAAAGGTAACAAGTCCTTCTTTGTAGCCTTGTATGCCCCAGAGCAGGTGCTAGGGTCATGCAAATGAGAAAGAAGTGGGTATGCGAGTGATGGGAAGATGGAAGAGGAGGAGGAAAATGTCCCTTAGTTGTTGTCAACTCTACTGTTACCCACAAAGAAGGACTTGTGTGCTAGAGGTAGATTATTTACCCATACTTTTGGATGCTGGAAAAATTTAGACAATAATTTGGACAATAATTTTTCCTCCTATCCAATAATACAACTTTGGTCTATTGTGGATATAGATTCAGAGAAGGCAGGAATTCATTCAAGGAAAGGAAAATGCTGCAAAAAACTAGTGGAGGTGTGAAGGCTTTTAATGTCTTCACTTCTATGCCTGATTTACCTGACATATTGGCGCATCAAACAAGCTTGGTTTTAAGCTAATTTAGAGTAAGAAGTATGAGTTAATATTTCAAATCAGTTCTCAATCTTTATTTAAAATTATCATCTGGGGACATTAAAAAAAATTCCCAGTCCCACTCACAGAAGTTCTGACATGTGAAGCCTAGTTATTGTTCAGAAACTATCATTTTCTAAAACACTCCAAAGTTCATTTAATACATGCTTCCAAATGTTAAGTATTCAATCCCATTTTGTAAAAACACTATCCTGGCCGGGCATGGTGGCTCATGTCTGTAATCCCAGCACTTTGGGAGACGGAGGCGGGTGGATCACCCGAGGTCTGGAGTTCGAGACCAGCCTGGCCAACATGGTGAAACTCTGTCTCTACTAAAAATACAAAAATTAGCTGGGTGTGGTGGCGGGCACCTGTAATCCCAGCAACTTGGGAGGCTGAGGCAGGAGAATCACTTGAACCCAGGAGGCGGAGGTTGCAGTGAGCAGAGATCACACCATGGCACTCTAGCCTGGGCGACAGAGTGAGACTCTGTCTCCAAAAAAAAAAAAAGAAAAGAAAAGAAAAGAAAAAAAGAAAAAACACTATCCTAAGGAGACACTTTCAGTGGAGAAAATGTGGGAGTGTAAAATATTAATTTTGCCATTTTGGATGGTCTGGATATAGAAACAACTCATTTGAGAGTTTTTGCATCCTGGTTTCCAACTAAAGTATTCTTTCTGGCTGAATGTTTGCATGAACACACCTGAAGACTCTATTGCTATGCTAGAATGTTCAACTGAGGGTTGTTTCAGAATTTAACCTCAAAGGATAAAGAAATGGAAAAAGGGTGAGCTCTAAAGAGACATGGAACATAGATCCAAAAGTGCTGCCAATGCTGACTGACTAACATAATTTTGAGAAGGAGAGATTAGAAAGAATAGAGGAGAAAAATGATCAAAGAAACAATAGAGGAACACTTCCCAGAGCTGCAGTATGACCTGATTCTTCATATTGAAAGTATACATCAACTGTTGAACAAAGCAAATCAAAGTATTAATAATTAATAAAATAACTTATAATTATTGTAATACTTGAAATATTGTAAAATTTTTGAAAGTATATATCAAATGTTGAACACAATGAATAATACAATTATTCTAATTAATAATATATAATAATAAAATAATACAATTATAAATAATTATAAATTGTTAAATAGTTATAAAAACAAAATTTTAAAATAATGAAATTATAATTTTATCATTATAATTATTCTTTTCAACATTTGACGTATACTTTCAATGCAAAGAATCAGGTCATATTGCAGTTCTGGGAAGCATCCTTTTATAATATAATATGATATTTTAGGATATGATTATAATATAAATATGTAATATCATATTCTAAATAATATGACCAGAACCTAACATTATATACCAATCAAATTAGTAAAGGAACAAGTAAAACTATTAGCAAAATACTTGTGGTTGTATAATGTAAAAATTAGGAACAGTTTCTAATTAAAATTCTAGCTGGTTCAATATAGGAGAGATAATGTTTTATGGATGAGGACAGTGCGTATGTGGTGGTTGTGGTGAGAGTGAATTTATGCAATATTAATAGAAAATTATTTTTGAAGGTCTCAGATAATGATGGAGTGCAGTCATGACACTCACACAAAAGGGTGATTATATCCTAACTAATGGAATAATGATGAAGCCGTCTTTGCAAAATTGTGAATGAGACAGTGAAAGAGATCTAACTTAACTAACTCCATCTTGCTTCTAACCTCCAATTTGTCCTTGTTCATTCTTGGGTGTGGGTTGAACTAGCTTTGGGAGAAACTTAGTTTATAGTTTAAACAGAGATGGTGGCAGCCCTTTCCCAGGGCAGACTTCCTTTTTACCTGGGGACTAAATTGCTTTTGTAGGACTAAGATTAGCCACAAGATTATAAATTATGGTTTAGGAGTCATGCAGCTGGAGGCTGAAAGATTCTGAGCCTCTCTAAACTGCTCCTAAGATCATTGCTTGAGAGATTTTGCAGATCCTGTACTTAATGGATCAGCCGGCACCACCCAGATCGATAAACTGGCTCATCTGATCTTGTGGTCCCCATCCAGGAACAAACTCAGCGCAAGAAGACAGCTTCGACTCCCTATGACTTCGTCCCTGACCAGTCAGCACTCCTGGCTCCCTGGCCTCCCCCAACCTGCCAAGTTGTCCTGAAAAACCCTGCTCCCCGAATGCTTGGGGAGACTGATTTGAGTCATAATAAAACTCTGGTCTCCCACACAGCTGGCTCTGTGTGAATTACTCTTTCTCTATTGCAATTCCCTTGTCTTGATGAATCAGCTCTGTCTAGGTAATGGGCAAGGTGATTCCCTTGAGCGATTACAATGAAATGGAATTGGTTTTAATAAGTACCACAAAGGTAGGGAAAAGAATCCAGTCAAGAAATCATGGATACATATAAAGTGGCAGAGATAATCCAAGATTTCTATCTCTAGATAAATGCCAATATGTGCACATATGCACCAAGACACATCTATGAGAATGTTCATGGCAGCACTATTCATAAAAGTCACAACTGGAAATAAAGCAAATATCCATCCACATCCAGATGGGTAAATAAAGTTTGGCATATTCATACAATAGAATGTTATACAACAATGAAAACAAATACCACAGCTCTGCACAACAATATGGGTTAATCTCTCAATATTAAGTTGTGAGAAAGGAGTCAAATACAAAAGAATAACACTGTAAACTTCCACATAAAGAAAGATAACTGGCAAAAATAATTTATAATATTCCCATCTTTCCAGCATTTCAGACTCCAAAGAAACCTCTCTTTCCTTCAGTCCTTACAATCAGACATCACATCTTCATGATTTCATATTGAATTGTATTATCTATCTCTTCCTTAGTGCCAGGCACTTTGCTAGACAATAGGGTTGAAGAGAGAAATAAGAAAATGCATGGGAGAGTCTTTGAGCCTAAAATCCAGCAGCCTAGAGAAAAAGCTAAGAGTGACAAAAAGATTTACATCAAAGCATGTTAAGGGTCCTCTCCCCTTTGATGGCCTCACTTCCTAATTCTAGAGAAGCCATCTGGTCAGGCCTTTCTCACATTCAAACGTTTCACCTTCAAATTTAAGACTACAGTGGCCACCCTTGTGTTTTTTTTTTTCTGATCCCCAAGGAAGAAGTGTCCCTAATCTCTGTGCAATACTAATTCCGTCCTTGAAATCCTGCTCCTACTTATCTCCCCTAGGGTCTTGCTTTCTATCTCTTGAGTCTAAGATATCTCCAGCATCTTACTTTCTTGGTTGCTTCACTCTGGACAAGAAAACATACTCGAGGCTTCCCATACTACTTAAATGCAAATTGGTTCCTGCCTATTCTATAAGTTTTTACTTTCTTTATATTTTCATTATTTCTAGATTTCTCAAAAAAGTATTTCAATTAGGCATATCTGGCTCAATAAATGTTTGTTGATGAAATGAATTGATGAATTCGTTCCACCTACTTCTCATCATTTAGTCTCACTTCATCTTTTTCTTAAAAAGTTCTCTATAAGCCTGATGCTCACATTCAAATTACCAAGTCAGATGTCTCTACAATATTTTCATCCTACTAATTCTAGGGACCTGTCTTTTTTGACTGCCTCTCCTTTCTTGTATCCATCATGAAAATATTCCTTTAAGTGAAACTGATCACACAAGTAACATGGATTAGAGATTTATCAAAGATAAGCTAAAAATCCCAGAATTTGTTTCACGCTTTTTTTTTTTTTGAGACGGAGTTTTGCTCTTTTGCCCAGGGTGGCATGATGTCGATCTTGGCTGCAACCTCTACCTTCTGGGTTCAAGCAATTTTCCTGCCTCAGTCTCCTGAGTAGCTGGGATTACAGGTTCCGCCACCACACCTGGCTAATTTTTGTATTTTTAGTGGAGACGGTGTTTTACCATGTTGGCCAGGCTGGTCTCAAACTCCTGACCTCAGGTGATCCACCCACCTCGGCCTCCCAAAGTGCTGGGATTACAGACGTGAGCCATCGTGCCCAGCCTTCATACATGTTTATTGAGGGCTTTCAGTGTGTTGAAAAAAGTTCTAGGTGCTGTGGGTTGACTGATGAATAGATTAGATCCCTACCCTTACAGAATTCACATTTTAATAGAGGAAGGATTATGAACTTGTAAATGTATGAATAAGTAGATAACATTTTCAGAGTTTTTTAAGTGCTAAGAAAGAAATAAGGAAGTAATGGGATTAAAGGTCACTTGAGACTACTTTAGATTTTGTGCTTAGAGCGTACCTCTTTGAGGAGATGTATCTCTGCTGTTAACTATGTGATGCTTTAGGCCCTTCTTGTCTTTTCTAGTTTCTACCAAATTTTAGTTTGCCTCAGACTCTGACACCTACCCTATATCTTACTATTCCTTTGGATTAGGAGTTGTTCTTTGGACTTGTTGGATTAACTATGTAGAAAGGTTTATTCAATTAAAAACTCATCCTAAATTCCTGGCTCTAGCCCTTTGGCCACATCTTCTTCTAGGAAAATTTTTGATAAAGGAAATCCACCCAGTTTTGATGGTGAAATGGTGAAGCAGGAAACTTTTATGTCGTGGAAGCTTCGTTTTCCTAGTTCTTCCCCCATAATTTTGCTTCCTGTTGAATACCCATTACATATTGGACATTAGTGTGCCCTATTTGCCTATTCTGTGAGAGTAGCCCTTGAATCTATTTTCTCACTCCTCTTGTGATCCATTTTCTACATTCCATCCTGAAAATCGTATTTAAATCATTTACTTCTTTGTTTACAAACTTTTGAAATCCTACATTCGTTTATGATACAATGAAAACTACGTGACCCTGGCCGTTAAGACCCCTCATAATGTGGCAGCAATTAACCTCTGTAATTCCTTTTTACAACCACTCTTTTCCCTTTTCCTACCATCTGGGTCACTCTCTTCCCTTAAATGCCACATCAGCCATCTTCCCTCCACCTCAAGGACCTCAAGATGTTTCTTGACTTTGCATATTTCACTATATGAACCCTTCCCTACTTTCTCTCCCTAGGATTTTACACTCCTGACCTAGTTCATGTTTCTCTTTATTTGTGAAGCTTCATTAATTTTCCAGGTCAAGTTAGCAACTCTCTTTTCTGTGTTTGCAATACTAGCTATTATTCAAATGAGTCAAATTAACAACATGAAACTTTTTTACTTGAGCCCTTTGTTCCTGGAAAACAGTTATGGTTAAAGAAATCCATCCACTTTTTTTGTGTTCTGAGAAAGGGATTATTACAAAAAACCACCCCTCCCCATATGACTTAGATAAGGCATATGTGTCTTTTTTTTTATGATAGGCCAGACACAGACTCTTTAAATTCTCATTCTCAGCTTCATAAAAGATTAGCTGAACTGTTTATCCTCACTGGACAGTAGAAACAAAGTGATTATTAACTTGACCGAATATCAGTTAAATTTCTCTTCCTCTTCCATGCTCGTGAGTTTTGATCTATCCTTCTTCTGACCCAGCATACAACCCTCCTAAGAATCAGCTGACCTTGGGTAAAACATTTCATGGTGATCTTCCTGTCCCCATACTGATATCTTTCTAGCTTTGTTGATCCTTCACCATAAAAGGAAATCTTTTTCTCTCTGGTCTTTGAGATGCTTGTAGCTCTTGTGGTTGGATGGTTTTCTCTATTGCAATACTCTCCTTCCTCTTGTTGCAATGATCCTTGTGAATAAAGTCTCTCTTTACCTAAAAATGTGTTTGTTTTTATTTGATAACAAAAGTTACCAAAATGTTTTTTGTCTGTTTCAATTATATACTCCTTCTTCTCCCAGATTTGTAGCTTTTTGGAACCAGTCTTTTTCCTTTTCCTACCATCTGGCTCACTCTCTTCCCTTAAATGCCACATATTGGACATTAGTATGCTCTATTAATGACAATGCCAAATCCACATTTGTATTCCCAGCATGTCTTAATCTCCCTGTGTCTGACTGCTCCCTATGTTTATTTACATCAATTTCTCTTTCTACTTTAGTTTCTGGGTCTGTTGCTGTATCTCTCTGTCTGCTCTATTTCCTCTGTTCTTTACCTACCTGTCCTGAGGCCAAGATCCTGTCTTCAGGTTGCTCCAGAGAGACGTGCATGGAGAGTAGGTTCCTTTTCTGGGGCTGGGGCTGCCGACGTACAGCTTCACCCCAGGCTTTGGCCCCTTATGTGAGACAGGAAACTGAGTTTATCCTCAGAGCAGTGCAAAACTTCCTGCTGTAAGGTTTTACTTTCGTATTTGTTTTTTGTTTCTAAATCTGCTGATTGAAAGGAAGCCTGTTTATGCTTTCTTGCGAACACCATGTTCATATGGGAACTGGACCATGTTTACATTGGGACCACCATGTCCTTACATGGCAGAAGAGCAAACAGGCAAAAGAGGGCTGAAATCACCCTTTTATAACAGCATTAATACTATCTATGAGGCAAGAACTCTCATGGCCCTCTCACCTCCCAAAAGCTCCATCTTCTAACACCCCCACAATAGGAACCAAATTTCAACATTAATTGAGAACAGACAAACACTCAAACCAGAGCTCCAGTCAAATCCTCGATGAGACCATGATCTCAGTCAACACTAGATTACAATCTGGTGACATCCTAAAGTAGAGAACATAGCTGTACTTTACCTGGACTTCTGGTTACAGAAACTACAAAATAATAAATGTGTGCCATTTCAAACCTCTAAGTTTGTGGTAATTTGTTATGCAGCAATAGAAAACTAAAATATGTCAGTTGATCATCTTAATGAGAAATGGTTTTGGTAATGGCCATTTTCAAGATAGGAAAAAGAAAAATAATCACAGGAGATAGATGACAAACCCAAGATCACACAGGTAGTAAGAAGCAGACAGAGAACTCTAAGTCTAGCTTTCTTCCCATGACACTATGTGGTCTAACAGAGAAGAAACCATGGTTGCCTCTGCAACTGCCCATCTAAACGAAAGCTCTCATTTTTCTTATCTCTGATGGACAGAGATGCCTGCAAAACAGCTCCCTTATTTGCCTTTCACCTCTGAGGATAATAGCCCTTTATACTGAATTAACATTTCATAGTTTCTTAATTAAATGGGGTGAATAGTGATTAGGCCCAGACGCACGATAAACTCAGAGCTTTACAGAAAAAAGAGGAAACACTCAATTTCAGTGATTCTTTTATCAAAATTCCCATCTGTTCCTGCCCTGACAGTGAGAAAAATGAAGCCCACTAAGGTAACATGTGACTTCTGTGTGTGAGCAATTTTTTTTGCAACATCTGAGGCTCTTTTTCTACATCCCTCCAGTGATTTAAATTTCTAAAACTCAAGTTCTTTATTAAACACAAGCACTAAGAGAGTAACAGTCATTTATTTGTTCTTTGCATTTTAAGAAGAAAGGTCAAAAACACACTTCTGATTTGATATTTTTAAGTATCCACACCATTTAAGAACACAGATATATCAATTATAAATTTAAGATAGATGCAATAAATTCTTAATAAGGCAAGCATTCAGAATTGCAGGATTATTTTTGAAGTTATGTTATTTCCATTGGGCAAGGTAGCAGTTTTTGAAGTCCAAGAACCTTAAAAGTCTCCTTCTGAGGAGAAATTTATATTGACAAAGACCAGAGAAGTTATAAATATTCACAGTTTGCATAGCAGTAATAAGAATGATATTCATTGTTCCTGTTCTTAATTTGACATATTTCTAGTTGGATAGAAATTTCTCCAACTGATTCTATGTAAGAGGAAGTGCCAAAATTAGGCTATCAAATTGCAACTCACCTTGACAACTAAAAAGCCCATCAATATTGAGAACACCCACAATGATGTCTAGCACACATGTGAAAGGTGTGGAGAGCTCTGGTGCATGAGAACTTTATTTTTCATTTCAGGAACATCCAAGAAGTCATGGCCATGAGCAAACTGGAAACCATGTGTAACCCCACTGGACCTGGGAGCTGAAGAATCATGTGTTTGGCTAACGGAACCAGCTGACCAACCAGATTCAGAAAAGAAAAATTCAGACACTCGAAACAAGCATATTTGAGGCTCCAGTTACAGAAGAATATGAAGCCATCAAGCAAGAACTTGAAACACATTTTAATGAAGACCCAGAGAATAAAATATAAGTTCAATGGAAACATAAGTTAAATTTTGAAAAATGAGTTCAATTTTGAAAATAAGCTAATAATCCTTAAAGAGCAACTTCTTTCAGACAGCAAAAGAAAAGCCAATGAACTTATTCGTTTTTTAAAAAATTTAAGAAAGACTGGATAAGAAAAAGAGAGATTATAAAAACAAACTATTGGAAAGGAGCCGAAAATTGTTTTTAATTGTAAAGGCTAAAAAGTTGAGTGAGGAAGACTTACATGAGAAATTCAATCAATGTCGGAAAAAAAGGGTCTGTGATGTGTCCACAACTCTTCCTAAAGTCACAGAGCCTGACACTGATTTGGATTCTGAAAACATCCTTTCAGAGTATTTAAAACATGAGATGGATGTCATGGACATACTAACAAGAAATTCTGCAGAGAAGTTTCAAATCAATTATGACAAATATGTCAAAATGAATAAGAAATGTAACAATTTTGAAACAATGTGATCAGTAGTCATATTCATGAACTCTTTCTCAATGACATTAATAGTCAGAAAAAAATTACAGGTAAATGACATTAATCGTCCTTGAGAAAGAGTTCATGAATATGACTACTGATCATATTGTTTCAAGATTTAATAAAACTATTAACAATATTTGGAAAAAGCAATGTGATTACAATCCAAATACATCCAGAAAATTCTAAAGACAACAGAGGAAGAAGTGAAACCTGCATCTACTCAGGAAAGATACACATTTAAAAATAAATATATTATCAGCTTATGCTTGTGTTTATTCCAGTGAGCAACAGAGAATTCTAAAGAAATGCACAGGGCATTCAAGAGAGCAAATGATCCTGTAAACTATCTAGAAAGCAAGAAAAATGATTTCTTGATGAGGTTTAAGATTTCCTGCCAAGAAGCAACCTCCAGCAAAACACTTACTGATTTTCTGGGGCACAAGCTCGTTCCTGCTGTCTCTACCATCATATGGGGGAAAAATAACCATTAAAATTGTGGGGACATGTGAGCTACCTGCCCTGCATTCAGTGAAAACAGGACTAACCTGGAGAAACACATTCTCGTCTCTCTGGGAGAAGAAGAAAACTTTGATCATTACTGGCAATACTTTCATAATAAGAATAGCTTTTTAAGGAATTACATCAAAATCAATATTAAGAGATACTGTTTAGACAATGCAGGTAAAAAAATGAAGATTTTTTTGAGAAAAGTTTAGTTGACATTAATAATGGCATCCTCCCTGCCCTTCATGAATCCACATCAGTAGCTAAAGATAAAAGCAGCACTGCTTCTGGTGGTTGGATTTATTCTGTGATCGCCTGGAGAGCAACTTGATCTTTCCACAGAGAGACTTGACAAGGATTAAACACCAGGAGATAAAAGATACTGAGTTTCTCAGAGAAGACATGAGTGCGGCTTTGGATCTCACAATGAGGAGAATAGAACAGCATTATTCAAGTATGCCTATGGAAGTAATGGTTTCTAAAACTGAGAAAATGCTCTCTGAACATCTCTGTGGCTGCTGGAAACAGTGTCCCTGCTGTGAAGCAATTTGTACAAACACAATTCCTACACACGAAGGAGACCATGGTGTTCCCTTCCCCTGTCCTCAGGCTGTCTATGGAGAGGAATAGTATAAAACAGGCCATTCTGTCATGGCTTGCTCTACTAGTTTTGTAGCAAGTGATTGTTTATTGGTTTTGAGCAATGATGGAAAAATCCCATATAAGTATCAAAAGGCAGGAGTGGATTATGCCACGGGGAGCATCCCTCCAGATTCCTCCACCCAGCCATCTTGGAAATGGTTTCTTTCTCACTTCAGATCAAAGCTAGAATATAAATATCAGGAAAAAAAATTACAGGTAATGGTAAAATCCCTAACTCATGGGCCAAAATCCAAAAGAAGGACATCCTTGAAGATTTGAAAAAAACAATGATACTCAATGACCACAAAAGAGCCCTAGTGTCTGAATAAAAGAGTCAGTGTAGGCCGCGCACGGTGGCTCGTGCCTGTAATCCCAGCACTTTGGGAGGCCAAGGCAGGCGGATCATGAGGTCAGGAGATCGAGGCCATTCTGGCTCACACAGTGAAACCCCATCTTTACTAAAAATACAAAAAAATTAGCTGGGCATGATGGCAGGCTCCTGTAGTCCCAGCTACTTGGGAGGCTGAGGCAGGAGAATGGCTTGAACCCAGGAGGTGGAGCTTGCAGTGAGGCGAGATTGCGCCACTGCACTCCAGCCTGGGGGACAGAGTGAGACTCTGTTTCAAAAAAAAAAAAAAAAAAAGAGTCAGTGTACCTGAACAATCCCAAAATAACTCCTCTTTACAATTAGAACTGGTATGGTTTGGCTCTGCGTCCCCACCCAAATCTCATCTTATAGCTCCCATAATTCCCACGTGTTGTGGGAGAGACCTGGTGGGAGATGATTGAATCATGGGGGCTGATCTTTCCCATGCTGTTCTAGTGAGAGTGAATGGGTCTTATGAGATCTGATGGCTTTAAAAACCAGAGTTTCTCTGTGCAAGCTCTCTCTTTGCCTGTGGCCATCCACGTAACATGTGACTTCCTCCTCCTTCCTTTCCACTATGATTGTGAGGCCCCCCCAGTCATGTGGAACAGTAAGTCCAATAAACCTCTTTCTTTTGTAAATTGCCCAGTCTTGGGTGTGTCTTTATCAGCAGTGTGAAAACAGAATAGTACGGTAAACTGGTACCAGTAGAGTGTGGTGTTGCTGAAAAGATACCTGAAAATGTGGAAACGATTTTGGAACGGTGTAACAGGCAGAGGTTGGAACAGTTTGGAGGGCTCAGAAGAAGACAGAAAAATGTGGGAAAGTTTGGGACTTCCTGGTCTAGGTGTTTAGAAAAATAAGTCATTGGTCTAGGGATAATCCCGAGCCTTTGAGTTAGGGCGCCCAAAGCCATCCCTTGTTTTTCAGCCACATAGAGGGTGAAAGGTTTTTCTAAGTTATGGAGTGCCAAAACAGGAGCGGTTCCTGGTTTTCTTTGGGTTAAGAATGACTATTGGCAGGTTCCATCCCAATTCAAAGGCTTGTGATCACTGTCTTTTAGAGCTTTATAGAGTGGTTTTGCCATAAGCCCAATCCTGGGAATCCAGATCTGGCAGAATCTGGCCATTCCCCAAAAGGCTCTTAACTGTCTCTTAGTTTGAAGGGGCTGGAGTGCCAAAATGGTCTCTTTTTGTTCCTGGGCCAAAGTCCTTGTCCCAGGAGTGAGCACATACCCCACATATTTAACCTTCTAAACAGAGTTCTGGACCTTATGAGGGGATATCCAATCCCCTTACTTTTCCAGAAAATTAAGAAACTGGATGGTGTTTCTTTCAGAGTCTTCCCTGGTAGGGCTCGAAACTAATAGGTCATCTACATATTGTAAGAGGGCCTCATTAGTTAACTATAGTTCCCTTAATTCCTTATCCTATGCATTGCCAGAGGGATGGGAGTTGTCCTTAAAACCTTGGGGAAGGACTGTCCAGGTAAGCTGAGGTTCAGCATGAGTGTCTGGATCAGTTCATTTGAAAGCAAAAATATACTGGGAGCCTGGGTATAAAGGTATACAAAATAAATCATCCTTTAAGTCTAACACTGTGAACCAATGAGTGTCTTCAGGGACTTAAAT
The DNA here is from genome assembly GCF_000001405.40 of Homo sapiens. Taxonomy (NCBI): domain Eukaryota; kingdom Metazoa; phylum Chordata; class Mammalia; order Primates; family Hominidae; genus Homo; species Homo sapiens. The sequence continues at coordinate 6,752,043 of NC_000011.10, forward strand.
CAATATTGTATAAGGATCAGGAATTATTGGGTGAACTAGGACTACTTCCTCATTAACTGTCCTTAGACCCGAACAAATCTATATTCCCCATTTGGTTTCTTTACAGGCAAAATAGGAGTGTTACATGGAGACTGACAGGACTATAATAACCCCTACTTTAGGAACTTTGCTATTCAGGGCTGGATGCCCCTCTGAGACTCAGGTATCAAAAAATATTGTTTTTTTTTTCCCATGGGAAATTAACATTGGGTTTTTAAATAACCTGGACTTGGGAGTACATTAACAGCTCTTCAGGGAACTTCCATGTCCCAAATAGAGGGGTCTACTCAAGAAGCAATGTGTGATGCAAGGGAGGTCTTCTCCTTATCTGTGTTAAGGCAAGCACTTAGAGCTAGGAGAAACATCGCTTCCTGGCCTGTTGCCTTCTTATGAGGCACCCTAAATTGAACTGTATCCTGTAATTGGGAAAGTAAGTCTCCCTCCAGTAGAGGGCTAGGACACTCAGGCATAAGTAAAACTGAGGGAAAATGTATGGTCCTCAATGGTGTAACCAAGGAGGAGGGCAGCTCTCCTAATTTTTCGTTGGCCATCAATTCCTGTTGCTGGACAAGAGTGGTAAGACAGTGGCCCTGAGAAATAGGTTAAAACTAAGTAGTCACCTCCTGTGTCCAATAAGAACTCAGTATTCTTGCCTGCTCTATCAGGGGTTACTGAGGCTCCTTCATGGCGATGGTAAGGTGTCTAGTGGGACCCATAGAAGACCTCAGGCCTTTTCAGGCGTCTGCTTTCTTGGCCATTATAAGTATGGGTGTTTCAGACTCCCTCTTAAGCCTGGGGCAGTCCTTCTTCCAGTGGCTTTCTTAATTACAGAAGGTGCAATGATGTTGGCCTAGAGGCTGGTGAGTGGGGGCTCTCATCTGAGCATCCCAGATGCCAGTCTCACCACACTTCCTTGAGGTGGGTAATCCTGAGGCAGTAGTGCCTAAAACAGCCACTAACAATTGTGCTTATTGGCCAGTTCTTTTGGTGTTTGCCTCTTCCTCTGCACTGTCCCTATTATTGTAAACTCCAAAGGCAATATCTAAAAGTTGGCTCATGGGGGTTTGGGATCCCATTGATACTTTTTGTAGCTTCTTCCTAATGTCAGGGGCAAACTGAGTAGTAAAATGTGCACCCAGGAGAGCTTACCCTTCTGGGGAGTCTGGGTCTGTATTAGTATATTTCCTGAATGCTTCAACCAAATGGCCCTGAAATGAAATGGGATTTTCATCTTTCTTTTGGGTTATTTCTTTCACCTTATCATAATTAACTGGTTTAACCTCATGCTCTTTTATACCACCTATTAAACAAATTAGCACATGATTTCTGTGTTCAAGATCTTGACATCCTCTCCGATAATCCCATTGAAGATCTAGATCTGGAACTGCTTCTACTCCCACATAAAATGGCAAGGCCTGTTTTAGTGCAGCCACCCCATCTGCATGTTCATGAGCAATACCTAGAATTCTTTGTTTTTCCTCTACAGTACAAGAAGTGGATAATATTTGCACAGTTAAATAAAAAGACATGGTCAACTTAACAAACTCCTCTACATGTTTGCCTGGATCCTCCAAAAACTGACCATATTTTTGCTTGCACAAAGCCAAATCAGGCATAGAAAAAGGCACATACACTCCGGCCACTCCTCCATCTCCATCAGCTACCCACTGCAATGAAAACATTTTCAATTCTGGGGGCTGATATGGGGCCCCGTTCCTGGTGGTACTGGTTAGGTTTACTTCTTCAGGCAGTAGAGGATACGGGCCAGGGCTTGTTGGATAAGTGGGAGGGGTGCCTGACGACCTTAAGGTGGAACCTTGCACTAGAGAACTGGTGGGGGATCTGAAGAGGGCCACAGGTCTCCTAGGAGTAGTAGCTAGGAGAGGTCATCTAGGATATCTGGCATGTCTTCTGGGTGCCTGGGGGTATCATGAACCAGACATGTTCTACAGGTAGCCCTTAAGTTAGAATCCTGGTAGAGGGTTATAAAAGCCTGCACATTAAGGAACTTCTTCCCATTTTCCTTCCTTTTTACAAAGCAAATCTACTTGTACAGTATCATTATAATGTAAAGAAGCATGCCTAGGCCAAATCTGTTGGTTTGCCAATTTTTATTGAATTCAAACGTTATTGCAATAGTAAATGAGTTTTTTTCCTTTTCAATTTGTCTAATAATTTGAATTTACTCCAACTCCAACTGTCTAAAAGACACCCTAGTGGTGAGTCTTTTGGGATGCTTATTTTTGTCCCAATGTCTATTAAGGGTCTCTACAGGGGATTTCAGTTAGCCTAAGTTTAGCAAATGCTTAATTACTTTTTCCTTTTAGTTTCCCACTTTCTACAAAATATAGATAGCAACGTGTTACAAAAGTGGATTATGAGCTACAAATGGGCAGTTGGATGTTTTTATTTTTTATTTTTTCAATGGTGAGCCGGTGGTAGGGTAGAAGAAAACAGCCTTTTTGAAGCAGGAGTGTTACAGCTCTGGTGGTGTTACAGCTTTGTGACTGCCTTTGCAGAGCAGGGCTACCCCACAGACAGTGTGCTGAAGGTAGCATTGCCATAGAAAGGGGTGGTAACTCCCAGATGTTGCCATGGCACAGGTGAACTATCATGGCACACTGGTGGGAATGTCTTATCAAAAGCTGCTCCTGCCCAGTCCCTGTTTTAGCTAGTCCTCTATTTGGTCCAGTGTCTGAGCCCCATCTCCGGAGTTGAGTCCCCTCATACATCAAGCAGTGGCCCACAGCCCTATTGAGAGTAGTAGAGAGAAGCATGAGACATAGTTGCTAGATGGGCAACTCATTAGTAAGTGATCAATAGACAACATAAAACTGGCAAATAAAAATAAAGGAGATAAAACTGATGAGCAGAGCTAGAATAGATTTTTTTTCTCACATGGCCTTGGAATTGGGGGTAGGAGGGGTGGGGTTAAAGGTGGAAGCCTAGGCCTTGCAAATATATTCCTTAGGAGGAGGTGTGAGATGGACGTAGTAGTTAAATTGAGCCAAAACAAGGAGCCTTGCCTTGGTCCCATGTGTTCCAGTCTGAAATTGTTCCTGGCAGAGCTAAAGCTTTATCATCCTATGTACTGGGGAGGCACCTATGTGTGCAAGTAGAGATTACCCCCTTATATCAGCCAGGTTAAGTCCATAAAATTTACCCGCAGCCTTTTCTGCCTCAGCTTGTAGCTTTTCTTGGTCTCTGGAGTTCCAATAAGGCTAAAAAATGGAAATCATGATGTATCATTTTATAGATACAGATTGGCAGTGTCAAAGCAACTACTGGTCTTAGTAAGAGCATCATAGACAGTCACAGTGACGAATTAATTTGCTGTTTTTCTGACTCCCATGCTAACCATAGCTACCATTCTTAGGCATCCCATCTTATTTCCGAGGCCCTAAGTTTGGCTTCTGGCTAAAACTGCGTGGAAGTTGCAGACATGTCTTTCACCAACAGATGGCGATAAAGAGCAGATCAGGATACTGAATTCTGAGATTTTCCCAACTCCAGCACAGTTAACATTTAGGGCCAGATAATTTATTGTGGGGAACTGTTCTGTGCATTATAGGATGTCTAGCAGCACCTCTGGCCTCTACTCACTAGATGCTAGCAGCACTCCTCACAGTTATGACAACAAAAATGTCTCTAAACATTGTCAAATGTCCTTAAAATATTTGGATTGCCCCATTGAGAGCTACTATGAAATGTGATGTTTAAGTTTTAAATATGAAAACAGAAAAGAATCAAATTTTGATGGAATTTTTGAAAATCTTTGTTGTTGTTTTTTTTTTTAAATAACGTGTAGTCACTGAAAAAATGTTTGAAAATGTAGGAAAACATAAGAAAGAAAAAAGCACACAAAATCCCACCATTCAAATTACCTTCTGTGAACATTTTAATAGCAATTCTTTCAGGCATATAGACACATAGTTAAATATGTATAATTTTGCATTTATGGCAATGTATAGTATATATACTCTCCTATAATCTCATTTTCACTCAAAATCTACTAGGGATATCTTTCTAGGTCAACAAATATTGGTATAGTTTAATAATTAACTTTAAAGCCTACATAATATCCCTTTGTATGTAATTAACCAGGTCACTACTGACAGCCAACCAGGTTCCTACATTTTCACTATTATAAATAGCACGGCAATTAACATCTTTGAGCATAGGTTTTTGCACAGCTTGAGAGTGAGATTATTTCACACTCATTTCCTATGTGTCTACAATTTTGCCAGGACCCAGAGCTTTAGGGAGTAGATTAGACATAGATTTTCTTCCAAGGATGTGCAAAAACTGGTGGAAAGAATGCGAACGGTATAATGGGAATGTTTCTAACACAAATAAATATGAAAGCTTGAGGTGATGGGTACCCCATTTACTCTGATGTGATTATCATGTGTTCCTGCATTAAAATATCTCATGTACCCCATAAATATATACACCTACTATGTGTATATATATATATATACAAATTAAAAAATAAAATAAAATAAAATAAAATTCCTTTATATACCAGAAGAATGTGAACAGAAGACAGAATAAAATATAAGTAGCATGGAAATGCAAGGTGTAAACATTGACAAAAGATGAAGACATAACTGATTGGATGTCAGGGATATCTTCACAAACATGAGCCTTGAAATAGGTAATATAAAAATTAATCTCAGCTCCTTTCTCTTCAACTATAGTTGTTGCAGCAATCACTTGTTTAAATGCCGATTTCTCTATTTCCCCTGCTCCCTGTGTGAGGGCCATAGCCAGGTTTCTCTTCTCCCTCTTTTTTATATCCTATGTTTATTACAGGGTCTCACACTTATCTTTAGTAAAGTTTGCTGAATGGAGGTATTCATGAGAAACTTTCCTGCCTGAAGAGCATTCTCTAAAACAAAGAGAAGGAAGAATTACATAGCAGAAATAGGTCTATGGATTCAAGTTCAAATTCTCTCCAACTTCCCAAACTCAAAGACAGATAGGAAACAGAAACAGGAAAGAGAGAATGGAAGAAAAAAAGGTAAATTAATATGCCCTTCTGTGATCTCTCACTCTTTCTCTTTCTGTGATTCTCTTTCCTCTTTTGAAAACCTTATCCAAGGAGAAATATCAATGACTTCAGAAGGGCAATAGGGGGTGATCCTAAGGCTTATACTATGACTCAGATAACGTACAGAAACATTTTACTCTCTTTATTTTAGTCTATAATTTGATATTCGTCTCAAATCCCCATCCACTGGTTAGCAGGAGAAAAAAACAACAAACCAAACTAATAGTTCAATCTAATTTTCATTTAGTCTAACCTGACAATTTAGTATATTTTTAGGAATTATTCATTCTCTGTTGGATAAAATGATGCTTGATTACTAAGAAAGCCTTCCCCTGCTTCTCATCCCAATGTGTGGTGGAAAGAGTGTGGTTTATTCAAGCTTCTGGTGCTGAGAAGGAACTCTAGCCTCAGCCTTGTTTTTCTGTTGCAGCAGCTCCATCTGCTGGTCTCTCGAGCACTGTTTTTTATGAACCTAGTTGTTCAGCATTCTGCAGGACACCACTGCTGAACTGGCTAGTTCACATGGGGTCTACACTTTCTACAGGGACAATGTTTCTGAGTTGCTAATGCTGTAAGAAAAATTTTGCTGTCTGCATAACCCTGAGTTGATTGCCACATCCTCCAGCCTACAAGTTGGTCCAGCATTCCACACTCTGTTATTGTCAAGTCAACTCATTCGGCTATGGAGGCCTATAAGAGCCCACCAGGTTTCAATTCAGTATCTAAATCACATAAAAACTCAAGGCATCTTTGTAAAGTTAAACCCCAGGGGCTCTCTCTACTTGACTGTGATGTGCTACATTTCTGTGACTGAGTCCTAAAGTTGATGCATGGCATAATTAATCCATTTGGATGTCAAAAGACTAATATTACCTCAGTCTTATTTCTCTCTACTTTTCTTTCATAAAGAATTCTAACTCCTTCCAGACAAATGAATGTCTCCGGTAGAGTAAGAAGATGCTTTAATTATGACACTTTTACCTACATCTTCATCTTCACTTTTGTTGTCTGATAAGGTCAAAGCCTTATCCTGTGCTCTGTTCACTGCACCTCCAGGTGTTTAGTCTGGAAAGCTTGAGATGTGGAAGATCAGTGGGAGAGAGACTAGAAGAAAACGGCCTGCTCACACCACATGATACCGGTCTTGAATTCTCACAGACATAAACACCTTTCTTTATTTATAATATTCTTTCATCATAATTAAGAATCTGGCATGTCGGGAGCTTGTCCATTCATCCAATACACATTCGCAGAGTACCTATTATGTGCAGTGTGCTCTGACCAGCACAATGTGTAAGCTACTGTGTTAATTTTCTATTCCTGCTGTAACAAATTACAACCAATTTGGTGGCTTACAACCACAGATTTATCTTAAGTTCTGGAGGTTAAAGTCCAAAATTAGGTCTTATGGGGCCGAAAACAAGGTATTGGCAGGGCTTCCTTCCTTCTAAAGGCTCTCAGTAAAATCCATTCCCTTGCCCTTCCTGCATCTAGAAACTGCCTGCATTCCTAGACTTCTGACCCCTTCCACCTTCAAAGCCAACAATGGCCATTCAAGGGTTTCGGTGCATCGTTCCAACTCTGACCCTGCTACCTCCCTCTTATAAGGACCCTTGTGATTATATTGAACCCACCTGGATAATCCGGGATAATTTTCTTGTCTCAAGATTGGTAATTTAATCACATCTACAAAGTCCTTTTTGCCATCTAAGGTACCATGTACAGGTTCTGGGGAGTAGGAATGTGAACATCTTTGGGGGACATTTATTTATCAATAGCATACTCAAAGAGAGACTAGCCCTCAGTGAGTCAAATGACTACAAAACACGTGGCTAATCTTTTTTTAATAACTTTTTTAAGCTAAAATATAACAGTTATACAAATACTAAAAAATGCTCAGAATGTATATGTACAGCTCAATGAATCTGGCACAAGGCATACACACTCCAGTAACCACTATTCAGGTCAAGTTACAGAGCATTACCAACACCCCAGTATTCTTTCCTTATGCCCTCTTCTAATCACTATACCTTCACTCACTCCCCAAAAGCAGTTTAACACCATACATCAGTTATGTTTCTTAGACAGGCAATTGAAATGATACAATATGTATGTTTTGTGCCTGCCTTCCTTCACTCAATATTACGTTTGTAAGATTTATCCATGTTACTATATGGAGCTATTGTGGTTCATTTTCTTTTCTTTCTTTTTTTTTGAGAGTCTCGCCTTGTCACCCAGGCTGTAGTTCCTCTCTGTTCCATTGGTCTATATATCTGTTTTGGTACCAGTACCATGCTGTTTTTGTTACTTTAGCCTTGTAGTATAGTTTATAGCATTGTAGTATAGATTGCAATGGCACGATCTCGGCTCACTGCAAGCTCTGCCTCCCAGGTTCAAATGATTCTCCTGCCTCAGTCTCCTGAGAGCTGGGATTACAGGCGTCTGCCACCACGCCCAGCTAATATTTGCATTTTTTCAGTAGAGACAGGTTTTACCATGTTGGCCAGGCTGATCTCGAGCTCCTGACTGTGTGATCTGCCTGCCTCAGCCTCCCAAAGTGCTGGAATTACAGGTGTGAGCCACTGCGCCTGGCCTCGTAGTTCATTTTCTTTGTTGTATAATGCATTGTATGACTAGATCACAGTTTATTTATCCTTTATGCTGATGAACAAACATGTGGGTTGTTTTCAGCTTTGGGGTATTTTAAACAGTGTTGCTATAAATAGTTTTGCACATGTCTTTTGGTGCACATATACACACATTTCTGTCAGGCATATACAACAAGTAGAATTGCTTGGTTATGGCATATACATATCTTCAACTTCAGTAGAGAATACCAACCAGTTAAAAAAATTTTTTTATTATACTTTAAGTTCTAGGGTACAGTGCAGAACGTGCAGTTTTGTTACATAGGTATATACATGCCATGGTGGTTTGCTGCACCCATCAACCCGTCACCTACCTTAGGTATTTCTCCTAATGCTATCCCTCCCCCAGTCCCCCACCCATGACAGGCCCCAGTGTGTGATACCTCCCTATGTCCATGTGTTCTCATTGTTCAACTCCCACTTATGAGTAAGAACATGCGGTGTTTGGTTTTCTGTTCTTAGTTTGCTGAGAATGATGGTTTCCAGCATCATCCATGTCCCTGCAAAGGACATCGTTTTCATGGCTGCATGGTATTCCATGGTGCATATGTGCCACATTTTCTTAATCCAGCCTATCACTGATGGGCATTTGGGTTGGTTTCAAGTCTTTGCTATTGTGAATAGTGCTGCAATAAACATACATGTGCACGTGTCTATACAGTAGAATAATTTATAATCCTTTGAGTATATACTCAGTAATGGGATTGCTGGGTCAAATGGTATTTCTGGTTCTAGATCTTTGAGGACTCATCACATTGTATTCCACAATCATTGAACTAATTTACACTCCCACCAACAGTGTAAAATTGTCCCTATTTCTCCACATCCTCTTCAGCATCTGTTGTTGCCTGGCTTTTTAATGATCACCATTCTAACTGGGGTGAGATGGTATCTCATTGTGGTTTTGATTTGCATTTCTCTAATGACCAGTGATGATGAGCTTTTTTTCCTACGTTTGTTGGCTGCATAAATGTCTTCTTTTGAGAAGTGTCTGTTCATATCCTTCATCCACTTTTTGATGGGGTTGTTTTTTTTCTTGTAAATTTGTTTAAGTTCTTTGTAGATTCTGTATATTAGCCCTTTGTCAGATGGATAGATTGCAAAAATTTTCTCCTATTCTGTAGGTTGCATGTTCACTCTGATGATAGTTTCTTTTGCTGTGCAGTAACTCTTTAGTTTAATTAGATCCCATTTGTCAATTTTGGCTTTTGTTGCCATTGCTTTTTGTGTTTTAGTCATGAAGTCTTTGCCCATGCCTATGTCCCGAATGGTATTGCCTAGGTTTTCTTCTAGGGTTTTTATGGTTTTAGGTCTAACATTTAAGTCTTTAATCCATCTTGAATTAATTTTTGTATAAAGTGTAAGGAAGGGGTCCAGTTTCAGTTGTCCGCATATGGCTAGTTTTCCCAACACCTTTTATTAAACAGGGAATCCTTTCCCCATTACTTGTTTTTGTCAGATTTGTCAAAGATCAGATGGTTGTAGACATGTGGTGTTATTTCTGAGGCCTCTCTGTTCCATTGGTCTAGATATCTGTTTTGGTACCAGTACCATGCTGTTTTTGTTACTTTAGCCTTGCAGTATAGTTTAAAGTCAGGTAGCATGATGCCTCCAGCTTTGTTCTTTTTGTTTAGGATTTTCTTGGCCATGCGGCCTCTTTTTTGGTTCCATATGAAATTTAAAGTAGTTTTTTCCAGTTCTGTGAACAAAGTTAATGAGAGCTTGATGGAGATAGCATTGAATCTATAAATTACTTTGGGCATGTGTGAGGAAGGTACTTGTTCTAGCACTCACCAAATTCCAGATAAGAGACACGAAGTTCTCCAGTAGTACTTTTCAATCTCTCATCAACAAACTTAAGATTAGTTCCTTCTTTCCTTATGGAGGGAGGGGTAAAAGAATACTCTGAGAGATAACTTCAAATATTCCTCTCCACCAACCTCCAACTGTCTCTCTCTTTCATACCCTAAAAAAGTTGAAGGCTTAACGCTTGTATGCCATCTCTTGATCACCTCCATGTACGTCCTCCCTAATGGTGTAGCACCTCAGTTTAGAATGTGGAGGTACATGGCAAATATTGTTTTATTTTTAGATTTCAGGTAATATTTCTATGGTATGACATTAGTATAGAGACAATAATCTAACTGAACTTTTGGGAAGTTGAGTCAAGGAGTGTAAGCTTAAAATAATGTACCATAATATTTATGAGTCTGCTCCACTAGAGCATATTATTATTCATATACTCATATTATTATGAGTTCATGATAATTATGAGTCTGCTCCACCAGACTCATCATTCAATTATTTCTTTTTCTTTTTGAACATTCTAGTAAATTTAAGAATATACTTCTGGAAATTCATTGTTATAAACTTTATTGTTTTACACTGTAGCAAATGAGGGCAATGCCCACTACATATTCTTTTAACTTATCATTTCAGGGCATGCTGACATCTGACAGCCATCTTTTGCAACAGAACTTTCTTTGGCTAACATGCCAGTTATGCCCACTTGCCCAGAAGATCAGAATGGCCTAAGATACTAATGTGCCCTACACCAAGCCGCCTTAATTGATAATTGATGAGAATTGGTGTGTAAAAACCCCTAGATTTCTGATAGAGTTTGGATGTTGTCCCCTCTAAATCTCATATTGAATTGTAATCCCCAGTGCTGGAGGAGGAGCCTGGTGGGAGGTGACTGGGACATCGGTGTAGATCCCTCATGGCTTGGTGCTGTCCTCCCAATAGTGACTATTCACAAGATCTGATTGTTTAAAAGTGTGTGGTACCTTCTCTCCCCTACTCTCTCTCGCTCCCTCTCTTGCCATGTGACATGTCTGCTCCCGCTTTGCCTTCACCACCATAAATAAAAGCTCCCTGAAGCCTCACCAGATCTGAGTAGTTGCCAGTGCCAGGCTTCCTGTACAGCCTGCAGAACTGTGACCCAATTAAGCCTTTCTTTATAAATTACCCAATCTCATGTATTTTTTATAGCAATGTAAGAATGGCCTACACAATCTCTTACATCGTAGTTGAGGTATACCTCTGAGATACATGTTCTACTCTTTCCAAGAATTCCTTAAGAAGATTAGGAATCAGTTGCCCACAATAAGACAACTCACTCGTTATTGAGTCTTTTCTTTGTCTGTTTCCCTCTTGCAAATTCTACTAGTTTTTCCTGGAATTACTTCCTAAATATATTACGTATTCAAATTCTTGCTCAGAATCAAATTCTGAGGGAACCCACATTAAGATAAACTGATTGTTCCTCAGCAAAAAAACAAAGCTGGAGGCATCATGCTACCTGAATTCAAACTATATTACAAGGCTACAGTAACCAAAACAGCATGGTACTGGTACCAAAACAGAGATAAAGACCAATGGAACAGAACAGAGCCCTCAGAAATAATACCACACATCCACAAACATCTGATCTTTGACAAACCTGACAAAAACAAGAAATGGGGAAAGGATTCCCTATTTAATAAATGGTGCTTGGAAAACTGGCTAGCCACATGTAGAAAGCTGAAACTGGATCCCTTCCTTACACCTTATACAAAAATTAATTCAAGGTGAATTAAAGACTTAAATGTTAGACCTAAAACCATAAAAGCCCTAGAACAAAATCTAGGCAATACCATTTAGGACCTAGGCATGGGCAAGGACTTCATGACTAAAACACCAAAAGCAATGGCAACAAAAGCCAAAATAGACAAATGGGATCTAATGAAACTAAAGAGCTTCTGCACAGCAAAAGAAACTACCATCAGAGTGAACAGGCAACCTACAGAATGGGAGAAAAATTTTGCAATCTACCCATCTGACAAAGTGCTAATATACAGAATCTACAAAGAACTTAAACAAATTTACAAGAAAAAAACAAACAACCCTATCAAAAAGGGGGCAAAGGATATGAACAGACACTTCTCAAAAGAAGACATTTATGCAGCCAACAGACACATCAAAAAATGCTCATCATCACTGGTCATTAGAGAAACGCAAATCAAAACCACAATGAGATACCATCTCACCCCAGTTAGAATGGTGATCATTAAAAAGTCAGGAAACCACAGGTGCTGGAAAGGATGTGGAGAAATAGGAATGCTTTTACACTGTTGGTGGGAGTGTAAACTAGTTCAACCATTGTGGAAGACAGTGTGGCGAGTCTTCAAGGATCTAGAACTAGAAATACCATTTGACCCAGTGACCCCATTACTGGATATATACCCAAAGGATTATAAATCATGTGACTATAAAGACACATGCACACATATGTTTACTGCAGCACTATTCACAATAGCAAAGACTTGGAACCAACCCAAATGTCCAACAATGATAGACTAGATTAAGAAAATGTGGCACATATACACCATGGAATACTATGCAGCCATAAAAACGGATGAATTCTTGTCCTTTGCAGGGACATGGATGAAGCTGGAAACCATCACTCTGAGCAAACTATCACAAGGACAGAAAACCAAACACCACATGTTCTCACTCATAGGTGGGAATTGAACAATGACTACATATGGACACAGGGCGGGGAACATCACACACTGGGACCTGTCGTGGGGTGGGGAACTGGGGGAGGTATAGCATTAGGAGAAATACCTAATGTAAATCACGAGTTAATGGGTGAGCAAAACAGCATAGCACATGTATACCTATGTAACAAACCTGCACGTTGCGCACATGTACCCTAGAACTTAAAGTAAAAAAAAAAAAAAAGAAGAACTGTTTGTAATTGTTTTCCCTTGCCTGAAAATTGTCTTTGAATTCATGCTGTCTCTGCCTACTTTGGAAGTATTTCTCTGATACCAAAGGCAGAGAATGACACTACAAGAAAACAAAATTACAGGCCAATTCATCTAATGAACATAGATGCAAAAATTCTCAACAAAAATATGACCAAACCAAACTCAACCGAACATTGAAAAGATCATTCACAATGATCAATCTGGGATTTACTTCGAGGATGCAAGGATGGTTCAACGTGTGCAAAACAGTAAATGTGATATGCTGCATTTATACAGTGAAGCTTCTGCATAGCAAAGGAAATAATCATTAGAGTGAAAAGACAACCTATAGAACGGATACAAATATTTTGAATCATACATCTAATAAAGGGTTAATATCCAAAATATATCAGGAACTCAACTCAATAGCAGGAATAACCTGAGTAATACATGGGGAAAGAACCTAAATTGACATTTCTTAAAAGAAGACATAAAAATGGCCAACATGTATATGAAAAGGTTCTTAAGATTCATAATCTTCAGGGAAATGGAAATCAAATGAGATATCACCTTACATGAGATATCACCTTCCGTCTTTTAGATTGGCTATTATCCAAAAAACAAGATATGAAAAGTGTTGGTTAGGAAATGGAAAAAAGGGAGCTTTTGCACACTGTTGGTGGAAATGTAAATTGGTACATTTTACATTGTACCAATTTAAGCAGTATGGAAGTTCCTCAAAAAGTTAAACATAGAACTACTGTATGATCCAGCAATCCCAATCTGAGTGTACACCCAAAGAATATAAAATTAGTATGTTTAAGAGATATCTGCACTACTGTGTTCATTGCAGCATTATTCTCAATAGCCAAGCTATGGAATCAACCTAAGTGTCCATCAATGAATGAATGGATTAAAAAATGTGATATATATATATAGATATAGATATAGATATAGATAGATACACACACACACACTCAGAATAGAAAGTCTTACCTTCTTTAAAAAAGAAGGAAATCGTATAATTTCCAACAACATGAATGAATCTGGGGAACATTATTTTAAGTGAAATAAGCCAGGTATAGAAAGAAAAATATCACATGATCTCATTTATATGCAGAACCTGTAAGCTGAATTTACAGAAACAGAGAGTAAAATGGTGGTTACCAAATGTTGAGGTAGGGGGATTTGGGAGATGCTGGTGAAAGGACACAAAACTTCAGTTAGACAGGAGGAATAAGTTCAAGAGATTTATTGTAGATCATGGCAATTATAGTTAATCAGATTATATTGTGTGCTTGAAAATTGCTGAGAAAGTAGATTTTAACTTTTCCTAATGCAAAAAAGATAAGTATGTGGAGTAAAGCATATGTTAGTTGGCTTGATTTAGCAATTCCATAAAGTATACATATTTCAAAACATCATGTTTTACTACATTAAGACATACATATTTTGTCAATAAAAATAATAAACAAATGTTTCATTTCTAAAAGGAAATAATAAAATAAGATTTTTTAAAAAGGCTTTTTACTATTTATCCATATAGCAGCCAAAATGTTTTAAGCACAGTTTACTAAGCTGTGGTCTCAGTACCTGATATTAATTATCTTATTTAATCTACCCAACAATATCACAAGAGCAGGCCAGTAAATATCACCACTTTTAACATCAGCAGACTAAGGTACAAAGAGTTTAATTTAGCGTTCAAAGATGCATAGATGACCAAAGGAAGAGAGGGATTCAAATGCGGGCACTCTGGTCTGCTTTCTCATCACTACTCTAAAATATTCCCTCATAGCAAGGAAGAAGATTCACCAAATTTCAAATGGAAAAAACACAGGACCTTCATCATCATGGACATTTAAATTCAGTAAAATGCATATATGTGCAACAAAAAAGAAAAATTTATAAGTGATTTTTGATTTATTCTAATTTTTTTAATTTTCTCAGTTTTTATAACAAAGTTGGATTAATTTTATAGATTAGCTTTATCTTTTATTTTTTATGGTTTAGCTTTATAGATTAAATAATGTAATATTATTTCTATAAAGAAAACAAGAATTATTGTGTTTTGACAAAGCACTATTCTCAAGAATAATAACACCTATGTAAGCCAAGATATTTTGGGAATTCTGCATTCAACAAATTTAAGTTCCCAAATTTTGCTATAAATCTTCCCACACTGATGAGTAGAATAAAAAAAATAAGGCTTATTTAGGCTAGCTAGAAAGCAAATTATAAATTTTATACTTCCTTTTCTATGGAAACACACATGTACATACACTCACCTCAAGAATATAACCTCTTTCAATTGTTTTAATGTTTAAAAACACATTCACATATCTGCAAGTCCACATTTTAAAAAACTTAGACAATATTCCCAACAAATTTCTCTCATTGTTATTGTACTCACTTTAAAACTGGTACTTTCAATTCTATTTTATTCATTCTTTATTTTAGTTTTAATTTTAGGCAATGTAAAAATGCCCATTTTCAAAAAGACTGTCAAAATTTCCAAGTAGAAATATCTTTCTTTATCCTTTTCCATTCTTTCTTTCTATTTATTTATTTATTTATTGAAACGGAGTCTCTCTCTGTTGCTCAGGCTGGAGTGCAGTGGCGCGATCTCAGCTCACTGCGACCTCCGCCTCCCAGGGTCAAGCAATTCTCCTGCCTCAGCCTCCCGAGTAGCTGGGATTACAGGCACCCACAACTATGCCCCGCTCATTTTTGTATTTTTAGTAGAGACCCGGGTTCCACACGTTGGCCAGGCTGGTCTTGAACTCCTTACCTCAGGTGATCTGCCCACCTCAGCCTCCCAAAGTGCTTGGATTACAGGCGTGAGCTACTGCGCCTGGCCACACTCTTTCAATGTAATTATTTATCATTACTCAAGTAACCAATGTGAAGGTCCCTTAGGTCTAGAGTACAAATGCAGTCACATAACTCTTATTCATTTCCACTAACTGCTCAAATAATCATCTACTTAATAAACAGGAAGTCTAATATATCTTCTGAAAATTCTTCCCTCTATTAGTAGTTTAAGAATCTGCTTCAAAGGGAGTAGTCCTCCTCTGATGCTGAGAGGCTATTGGAATTTGGTCAGTCCAAAACTACTGCTGCTTCTCACTGCTATGTGATGTTAAAATGGAAAGCTAATCCCCTACCATGTCTACTTGGTAATGTGTCAGGACGATGCCTACCACAGAGTGAGTCTACAACACCCATTCAAGGCTTTTCCCCCATCTGGTTATTTTTATAACATGGGTTTCCAAAGTCAGGATGATGTGTGCCAAATGAGTTTAACTCAAGATCATTGTACACACCAGATTCACAGTTGAAAATAAAAGTAAAATTTAAAAAATGTATCTATCATCTCAGAGTACAGTATTGAAGAATGAGTGAGTAGAGAATTTTATTTGGAGCAGGAATGAGTGAGTAGAGAATTTTATCTGGAGGAGGAATGGTGAGAGGCAAGCCATGATCCTTCCCTAGAGCGTGGAATGTGCCAGCAGTATGTATTTTCCCAGGACCCTCCTCAAGGCCCGCATGACCTCCTTATTCCTCAGGCTGTAGATGAGTGGATTCAGGGCTGGAGTGACAATTGTGTAGAAAACAGAGATGATGTTGTCTTGTTTGGGGCTGTGGAAGGAACTGGGCAAGACATACATGAATGTGGCAGCTCCATAGAACATCCCGACCACAATCAGGTGGGAAGAGCAGGTGACAAGGGCTTTCTTCCTCCCCTCATTTGATGGCATACGAAGCACAGTGAATAGGACTAGTGTGTAGGAGGCCACAATGGCAGAAATGGGGAGCAAGAGGAAAGTCACACCTGTCACGTATATTATAAGCTCATACCTGGAGGTATCAGCACAGGCCAACTTCAGCAAGGGTGGGATCTCACAGAGCAGATGCCTGATTTCCCAGGACACACAGAAAGGGAGGTGCATAGTGTACATGGTATGTCCTATAGCAATCAGGGATGCCAGGATCCAGGATGTGGCCACCATGATCCAGCAGACTCTTGGGCTCATGAGGGTCATGTATTTCAGAGGATGACAAATGGCCACATACCTGTCATAGGCCATGAAGGCCAGTAGGAGGTCCTCAGCGCTACCCATTGTCAGTGCCAGGAACATCTGAAGTGCACAGCCTCCAAAGGAGATAGTGTTTTCTCTGCGCAGAAAGTCCGCAAGGGCCTTGGGAGTGACAACAGATGTGAACAGGAGGTCCATGAGAGAGAGCTGCCCAAGCAGGAGGTACATGGGCATGTGGAGCCGGGCTTCTATGGTGATGGCCAGGAGCAGCAGACCATTGCTGGTCAGTGCCAACATGTATAGGATTGTAAATGTAGCATAGAGCAGTTCAGGAGACCCACTGTCATTCAGAATCCCCACCAAGATGAAGCCGCTTCCCAAGGTGGAGTTCCGGAGCTCCATGATGTGTTTTTTTAGTTGCCTAGAACCAAATATATTATCAGTGGAAGCTTTTCTAAAGGTGTTCACTCTAGCTTTGGATTGTTCTAGGTCACTGTGCATTGGCCAATAGGAATCCCATAATATGATATATTTTCCATTTCTTAGTATGCCTCTGATTTCTGAATGCTTTTATTGAAATAAACCATCAGCTAAACTGGTATCAGGTATTTTGACATGTTGTTAATAGTAATCATTTAGAAATCCCTTCAAATAAGGTATCCTGAAGAATAAGCCCAAGCAAACATCTTTGTAGATAGATGAAAGCATCTCTTTCTTCACAATGAACAAATATACTGGGGATTGGTTTAAGATCTAGCTATTTTTCTGCTTAAAATGTAGTTGGAATTCCAATTCAGTTTTTAAAATTTTATTTATAAAAAACCTCTTTGCTGTCTTCTCCCTTAAACCAGTCTCATTGTTGTTGATTACTTTCCTCAGTAGGAGAATCTCTGGGTTCTTGGGCTGCTTGATCACCTGGACTCTTCAAGTGCTGCTCTGCTGGAGGGAAAGAGAATTCTGGGCTGAATTTAACAGTCATGGCGGTATCGATTCTAGAGGTAAATCTAGAGGAACAGTACAAAAGGTGTTTGCTGAGATAATAAGATGTTTTCTCAGAAACAGGCAGGAATAAAGGCAATACATGAGATTTGTGGTGGCATGGCAGGTGTTTGTGTTTAGGGCACATGATACAAGGGGTGAGCTACAAAGGAGGAGACATTGTAGAAACGGCCCAAAGCAATAGCGTTACCTGTGAGCCACAGCAACACACACAAGGTGAGAAGAAGATTTCTCCCCACAAATCTTAGGAATACAAGGAAAATGGTGTTTCTGCTGAACCCTGAATCCATATGATAGCTCTGCTGCTAGGGGTTGGGGAGGAGGAGTGGAGTGTGAGGTCCATGTGGGACAGCGTTCACTTGGCTCGCTTTTTGTGAATGCAGTTTTTTCACAGTCGGATGGAAGACTTAGGAGGCCTTTTGGAAGAGACAAATAATTCTTGATCAAATTATTCATCTTTCCCTTCCATAATCTGCACCTACTTCTCCAACTATCCATTTATGTCCCTATCCTGGTCAACTCAGAGTTAGAACCTTTAAGTGGTAAGGTCATACAAAAACCTGACATTGGAAGGCGCATCTGATCCTGCTCCTTTCATTCATTCAATAAATATTTACTAAGGACCTATGATATCTCAGGCACTGCACTTGGGCAACTGTGTAGATGTGAAAAATCGATCCCACAAACACCTACATACATCCAGTGAAAAAAAAATACATGAA
Organism: Homo sapiens; assembly: GCF_000001405.40. Lineage (NCBI taxonomy): Eukaryota > Metazoa > Chordata > Mammalia > Primates > Hominidae > Homo > Homo sapiens. Next base: position 6,770,277 of record NC_000011.10, read on the forward strand.
AGAAAATACACTAGGAGAACATATAAGTGAGTTTTCAGGAAAGGATTCACCAAGGAAGTGGTATACAGACTAAAGGCTGAGGATAAATAGGAGGTGGCTAAATCAAAATGGGTCAGGATATAATTAAAAAAAAAAAAGTGAGGGATGGTACCGTGAAAGTCAGAACCTTAAAATACAGTACATGAATGTCCTCCTTGCACTTTTGCCCAGTGAAGTCTGGACAAGAAACCCCCAGAAAAATACCCTGTATAAAACTGTGTTTCACCACGCAATGTAGTCTAAGAATTTTCTCCTGCCTTACAAAATCAAAACTATAATTTTAACCTAGGAACCACTGACCCACTGACCGGAAAACCTTATTTGTCTGTTGACAACAAAAACACAAGTCCAAAGTCAATTCTAAGCACTATTTCTGCTAAATATTAGATTTGAAATGCCTTCATTTTTCTTGAATAAAAAGATGAATGGACAGGTAAATAAAAGGAGGAACATAATTAGCTGGGCACATTCTTCTAGCTTCCTGCACCAGATGTTTGGACAGGATTTCAAAGAGAAGAAAAATCAGGGCTTGGGTAAGGTGGTGTAACCAGGACTCAGGATCCTACATACCTACCTCCTCCCTCTGATACGGGACTATTGTTTTCCCTTCTTTCCATTTACTGAGTTCTCTCTGGGGTCATCTAAAGGGAAAGGCCAGAGAACACACACTGGGCCTACAGAGGAAGAGCTTCATTCTGGAAAACTGCTGGTGGTTGCGGGTATTTCAAACCAAGAGAAGTCAGCAGAGGCTGATATTAAGAGGCATTGCTATAGTTTATGGAAAATGGTCAGTCAATTAACAAGGTAGAGCTAAATTTTTGGAAGTATATTTTATAAGTTTTTCTTTTTCATCTCTGCTCAGTATATTTATTTTTTGTATTTACTTCATTTGGCTTTTTGTGTGGCACTGGACTTAGCGCCAAGCAGTCCTGCAGGGGAAAGGCACTTCAGCATATTTTAGATAGTCCTCCTTTGAGGTACTATTCATTTGGGGACTCACATCAAACTACTGGAGGCCAGGAAAATCTAGATGTAACAAAGGTAAGTACTGAGACTTTTACCAGGAGGCCATCATCAGGAATTCTAGGAACTCACGGCTGGCCAATGGCATAGAATTATTTTGGTTGTTCCTACATGTGCAAGATGGGTACATGTACAAGGTTGATAAGATATAGATGGGAGTGAGTGAATCATAAAGCCTGAGGAACTAGAGAATCTGAGAAGGAGAGCAGTGTAAGGTCTTGACCCTGTTTCTCAGGACTTCCAGACTTCCCATATTGCCTTGAAACGGAGACAGAGCCCTTACCTCATATGGGAAGGGGCATAGCTTCCAGGTAAAGAGGTTCAAGAAGCCAAAGAAAGAAAAGTTGCTTCTTCTGGCCAGGATGAATGTAGGTGTGTGTATGGCTGTCTCTAGGATCAGAGATCAAAGGCTCCTCCAGTCACTGGCACTGCAAGTCCTCTCTGGAAGTAGAGATAGATGCAGACAGGCAGCTGAGAACCTAGGGCAGGATCCTGCAGAAGTGAGGAGCTGAATCTCTTCCAAAGTTCTCTCATTCACTGTCCTTGCGAGAAAGTCCTTACTGCTTTGGAATGGTTCTAGCTGAGTTCTTAAGTCCAGGTCCTCAGATTTCATATATTCCCCTCATGCTGTGTTTCATGATAAAAGAGGAGCACAGCAGGAATGTGAGAAAAGAGGTATAAGAAGAGCTGCTTAAAAGAGACCCACCAATGCCCAGCCTTACTGTCTCTGCGCCAACAGTGAGGCCTGTCCTGGGGGAGGGTTCATAGTCTCACCCTCTCAGCTGACATGACCTCCCCTGAAAATATTGCTCCAGGAAATGGGATTTTAATAAATCCCCTTGGGCATGTCTCCTGGCCTGCCATTTCTTCAAACTTTACCACCAAATGAGCTCTGAACCTTGAGGCCTTGTTCTGCCCGCCATGGGCTTGCTGTGTCTCACCACTCATTGGAGTCTAAGATCTTTCTCCTGCCTTACAAAACCAAAACTATAATTTTAACCTAGAAATCACTGACCGGAAAACCAGACAGAGGCTGTTTCTGACAAAATAGATAGTGTCAGTAACCAATCTGAAAAGCAACACCTCCCTGTCCAGCCCTCTGTCCAAAATATAAAGTCTGTCTCATGGGTTCTATAGATGCTGCCACTCACATATCCCTCTTTGTGCCACTAGCCTGGGCTATTACCAACTAGAGGGAGTTAACTATGCTTCTGTTAATATCAGGTCTTCCTTCACTGAGCTTTAATGAGGATCCAGCACTAATTTATTTTTCAGTTCTTTGTTTCTCCTTTCTACTCCCTCTTGTGTGTGTTCATTTGTTCATGGGCCTACATATTCTGTGATCAGTCAGCTGAGCTGCTCAGAGCTTTGGGATGATGACACAGCACCTGCTTGCACTCACTTCTGCTTTTAGTTCAGGCTTTCCCATCTCTCACCCAATTCTGTGCTTAATCTTCCTCATTCTTTAGTATCTCTTTAATCAGCCATTTCACCAGGAAATGCTGAAAATTTCTTCCGGAGTTATCATATCTTTTCTCTTTGAACTTAAAAAAAATAAAAATAAGTTTCCACTTTCTGTTTATATAAAATATATACTCAAAATTATTTCAGAAGTGCAACAGAAGAACTAATATAAAAATCTTTTTATTTTTTAATTATAAAAGGAATGTACTGAAAAGACGGTTTTAAACATGTAAATTATAAGAGCAGCATTATTCACAGTACAATAAAAATTAGAAACGACCTTTATGCCCATCAACAGTGGAATAGATAGATATGCACCAAAGGGTTACTATGTAGGAATCTAAACAAAGGAACCAGAGCATACAACAAAAAAAGCAACTTAGGAAACTAATATTAAGGGAAGCAAGAGACACCTTAGGATTATATATCGTGGTACTTCTTTTGCAGTGTTAAGAACTTAAGTGAAAATAAACTTCCTATAAATATGTGTACATTCAATAAAACTACATATAAATGAAGAAAGAAAATGATGGACATGAAATTTGCGTTAATAGTTATAGTGAAAGGAGGCAGAGAGCTGGACTGCTAAATGTGGTCGAGTCCAAATCTTCTACTACTTGCCACACGACAGCCAATAAGTGGAGAGAAAAGGTGTTGGGGCAAGGAAGACAACTTTATTTCAGAAAGCCAGCAAACTGAGAAGATGGTGGACTAACATCCTAAAGAACTATCTAAAGTTGATTAATTTTTAGGCTCCTTTTATGTTAGAGGGAGGGGGAAAAGGGATGGGGCTAAGACCAGGAGGTGACTGGTGAACACAGATGTCTGGGCATCAGCAAAGGTCTGAGGAGGTGGCAAAACTTCTTTGTTCATGGTCAACTACTTGTCAAGTCCACCTTGTTTCTATAAATCTTTAATCATTGTTACTTGTATGCATACTTCCTTACCTCCTTGGGGGTCTGTTTCAAAAGTGAGAGAGTCATTAGTTCTAAAGTTAAAGTATAATCTAAATTCTTTTTGTGATTGGCTTGGTCCACAGTAGGAATGAGCAAAGGCAGTTAGCTTGTGAGGTCAGAAGTAAGATGGCATCAGCTACATTAGATTTCTCTCACTGTTTCATGACCTTATGGGAAGGTGAGGATATTATCAAGGTCCTAGCTTGCATTCTGGGAGCTGAGTTTATGGTAATAATCAATTAGTCCCTACATACCTGACATTCAACCTTTCTTTCTATTTCATAGGTAAAAGTAAAGATCACAGATGATTAAGTTTCTCAGATGAAAACTTTCTTACACCTTTTCATTGTCTTATATAGGAACTATTTTTACTCCTCAGCCTTTTATTTCAGAGGAGTAAGTTCTCCTTCTCCACTTTAGGGTTGCCTTCTCCAATTATTACTGAGATTCCTCCTTTTACATCTTCATTCCCTATTCTCTCTGCCTTTACTCCTTCATTTATGTATTTTTCTTGTATCCTAATCCCTCTCTCAATCCTTTGGTTTAGCTTTCAAAGATGATCATGACTTCTCTGCTCAGAAAATAATCCCTAGGTTTTCCTTTTCTTTCATACTATTTCTCTAAATTCCTCTCATTTTTGTAATAGGTTCCTTTAAAAATTTTTAGTTGAAAAGTAAAAATTGTATATATTTATCGTGTACCACATGACGTTTTGCAATAGGTATACATTGTAGAATGGATAAATTGAGCTAATTAACATTGGCATTGCCTCATACATTTATCTTTTTTGTGTGGTAAGTACACTAAAATATACTGTGAACAATTTCAAGAATATAATACATGGCTACTAACTGTAGTTACTATGTTGTACAATAGATCTCTTAAACTTACCCTTCCCGTATAACTGAAGTTTTGTATCCCATGACCAACATCTTCCCAATGTCCTGCACCTCTACTGTCCCCTGGTAACCACCATTGTACTCTCTGCTTTTGTGAGTTCAACCCTTTTAGATTCCACATATGAAGAGAACATGTAGTATCTTTCTTTCTGAGTTTCGCTTGCTTTACTTGACATAATATCCACCAAGTTCATCTATGTTGTCACAAACTATAGCATTTCCTTTTTTTAAAAAAAGCTAAGTGGTATTCCAATGTGTGTGTGTGTGTGTGTGTGTGTGTGTGTGTGTGTGTGTGTATATATATATATACACACACATATATATGACATTTTCTTTATTCATTCATCAGTTGATGGACACTTAGGTTGATTTCATAGCTTGGCTATTGAGAATAAGGATGCTATTAACATGAGAGTGCAGATATCTCCTCCACATGCTGATTTCCTATCCTTTGGGTATATACCCAGTAGTAGTATTGCTGGATCATATGGTAGTTCTATTTTTATTTTTTTAAGGAACCTCCATACTGCTTTCCCTAATGTCTGTACCAATTTACATTCTCACCCACATTGTTTAAGTGTGCCCTTTTCTCCATATTTTTGCCAACACTTGTTATCTTTTGTCCTTTTGATGATAGCCATTCTAACAGATGGGAAGTGATATCTCATTGTGGTTTTGATTTGCATTTTCCTGATGATTAGTAATGTTGAACATTTTTCATATACTTGTTGGCCATTTTTATGTCCTCTCTTGAGAAATGTCTTTGATTTTCTTTCCTCATTCTTTTTTTTTTTTTTTTTTGAGACGGAGTCTCCCTCTGTTGCCCAGACTGGAGTACAGTGGTGCGATCTTGGCTCACTGCAACTCTGCCTCCCAGATTCACACCATTCTCCTGCCTCAGCCTCCCAAGTAGCTGGGTCTACAGGCGCCCGCCACCACGTGCGGCTAATTTTTTGTATTTTTAGTAGAGACGGGGTTTCACTATGTTAGCCAGGATGGTCTCGATCTCCTGACCTTGTGATCTGCCCGCCTTGGCCTCCCAAAGTGCTGGGATTACAGGCGTGAGCCACCGCGCCCAGCCGCTCATTCTTTAATCAGACTGTTTTCTTACTATTGAGTTTCTTACATATTTTGGTTTAAATCTCTTATCAAATGTATGGTTTGCAAATATATTCTCTCATTCCATAGGTTGTCTTATCACTTTCATAATTGTCTCCTTTGCTGTGCAGAAGCATTTTAGTTTGATGTAGTCCCATTTGCCTATTTTTCCCTGTGTTTTTGGGGTCATATTAAAAAAATCTTTGCTCAGACCAATGTCATGGATCTATTCTCCTATATTTTATTCTAGTAGTTTTACAGTTTCAGGCCTTACATTTAAGTCTTTAACCCATTTTGAGTTGAGTTTTTTGTATGTGGTATAAGATAGGGTCTAATTTCATTTTTCTGCATGTGGATGTCTACGTTTTCTAACACTCCTTACCAAAAAAACTGCTCTTTCCCCGTTATGTTTTCCTGGCACCTTTGTCAAAAATCAATTGACCAAAGCTGTATGGATTGATTTATAGGTCTCTATTTCATTCTATTCCATTGGTGTATGTGTAGGTTTTTATGCTATCATCCTGTTTTCATTACTATAGTTTTGCAAGCATATTTTGAAATCAGGTAATGTGATGCCTCTGGCTTTGTTCTTTTTGCTCAAGATTGCTTCTGTTAGTTGGGGTCTTTTGTGATTCCATATGAATTTTATAATTGTATTTTATATTTCTGTATAGAATGTCATTGAAATTTTTGTAAGGATTGAATTGAAGCTATAGATTGCTTTTGGTAGTATGGATATTTTAACAATATTAATTTTTCCAATTTATGAACGTGGGATATATTTCCATTTTCTGTATCTCCTTCAATTTCCTTCATCAATGTTTTATAGTTTCAGTGTACAAATCTTTCACATCCTTGGTTAAATTTATTTTTAAGTATTTTAATTTGTTTTATTATTTTATTTTGTGGCTATCTTTAATCTTTTTTATCATTTATTTTATCTTTAATTAATTTATTATTTTATGTTGTGGCTATTGCGGATGGGATCATTTCCTTAATTTCCTTTTCAGATAGTTCATTTTTAGTCTATAGAAATGCAAGTGCTTTTTATACATTGATTTTGTATCTTGCAACCTTACTGAATTTTTTAGTTCTAACAGTTTTTTTTAGTATTTTGGGTTTTTTATATAAATGAGCATTTACAAATAGAGAAAATTTACTTTTTTCTTTCCAACTTGAATGCCTATTTCTTTCTTTTGCCTGATTGCCCTGGCCAGGACTTCCAGTACTATGTTGAATACAAATGGCAAGAGTGGGCATGCTTGTCTTTTTCCTGATACTGGAGGAAAGATTTCAACTTTTCTCCACTAAGTATGATGTCAGATGTGGGCTTGTAATATATGGCCTTTATTATGTTGAGGTACATTCTTTCAATATGTAATTTGTTGAGTTTTTCTCATGAAAAGATGTTGAATTTTATAAAATGTCTTCTCTGCATATATCAAGATGATCATACAGTTTTTGTCCTCTAGCCTATAAATGTGGTGTATTATATCATTTATTTGCATATATTAAGTCATCCTTGCATCACTGGGATAAATCCCAGTTGATCATGGTGAATGATCCTTTTAATAGGCTGTTGAATTTTGTTTGCTGGTATTTGGTTGAGGAGTCTTGCATCTATGCTTATCAGAGATATTGGCCTGTAATTTTCTTTTCTTGTATTGTTCTTCTCTGGTGTTGGTATCAGGGTAATACTGGCCTTGTAAAATGAGCTGGGAAGTACACTCTCCTTTTAATTTTTTTTGAAAGATTTTGAGAAAGATCAGCATTAGTTCTTTGTTAAATGTTTCAGTCTTGGTAGGTTGTATGTGTCTAGGAAAAACTTCATTTTAATGATTATATAATATTTTATCAGATGAGTTCTCTAGCATATATGTAGGCATTTGCTGACATTTAGTTTTACTCCTCCAAATATTCTTATATGAGGGTCTAATTTTATCTTAGATCAAATTTCTAAAAGTGAAATTACTGTGATAAAGATCAAGACTCTATTTAAAATTCTTATTACAAAGAGCCAAATTGGTTTTCAGAAAGTTAGAAACACTTTGTTTTCTGGCTAGCATTATGTGAGAATGCCCGCCTTACTATGTTATTTCTAATTCTGTCTTATCTTTGCTAATTTATTAAATACTTCAAGGAAATAAAACAGATGTTTTAATTTACATTATTTCGTTTTTTATAATGATGTTGTGCAGATCTTTATAGATGAAAGTCACAAGTAATTTAACACTTATGTATGTGGCAATTTTTTTCAGTTTTTTAATTTAGCTACATGGTAGGATTTGTTAGATAGGGAAGTATCACAATATTTATGTAGTTATAAAAATCTATATTATTCTTTAAAATTTTCAGAGAATTTTACTCTTAAAATTTTCATTCTTATTTCAGAAAATACTTACATATCTTTCTTTTACATATGCTTAAAAATTTTGTTAATGATATTTAACTTTTTATTTCATCTCCAAATTATTTAGCTGTATTATGTATGTTGAGACTTTATTATGTTTTCAAATATTTTCTTGTTAGCATTTTTAGTAACCTTTAAAAATATATTATTATTTATTGTAATTGCTTGACCATATACTGACTTCTTATACATATAGTAATGAAGAGTTTTTCTGAGCTAGCTCTCTAGTTCCAGTAGTCTCTCAAGGCTCTCCTTTTCTGTTTCTCATCACTGACCTTTCATTATGTTTTATTACCTGTTATTTCTGATAAGCTTTTCATTCATCTGCCAAATGTCAAAAAAATCCCATTATTATAATCATTGTGGTTATATTTAACTCATAAATTAATTTGGGAATGTTGGCTCTTTGCAATATTCAGTCTTCTGCACCAAGAACACAGTGTCTTGCACAGCCCTAATACAACCTCTTTCTTATTCTCTGAAAATACCATTTTATACCTTCACTCTCAGCTTCTGAAATTGCCTCATACATCAATGGAAAACCAGAAGCAATCATACAGGACTTCCTCATTTTCCACTACCAATTTACCATACATCTTCACATAGCTTTTCATCTTTGAAAATGCCTATAAGAGGCCAAATCCTCCACTAATGCTCTTCATATATTATTCTCTTAATACCCAAAGAAATTGGTCTTGCAATTACCTGATTCTCTTCTACATCATCTCTCTACTGGAAAATTACTATAGGTTACACACATGCTCCAATATCTTCTATCTAAGGGAAGTCTTCTGTCTAAATTACATTTCCCTTACAGTTCCCCCAATTCTCACAGCAAATCACCTTGAAAGATGTGTCTAAACCCAAAGTTTCCACATCCTTTTCTACCATCTATGGCTCATGCCACTGTAATCAGTCTTCTCTGCCCTCAGCACCACATTACTGCAATTGTGCTTGTCAGATTCAGCAATAATGTTCCTACACCAAACTCAGTATCACTTCATATATATATATATATATATATATATATATATATATATATATATATATATATTTTTTTTTTTTTTTTTTTTTTTTTTTATTATACTTTAAGTTCTAGGGTACATGTGCACAACGTGCAGGTTTGTTACATATGTATACATGTGCCATGTTGGTGTGCTGCACCCATTAACTCGTCATTTACATTAGGTATATCTCTTAATGCTATCCCTCCCCACTCACCCCACCCCACAACAGGCCCCGGTGTGTGATGTTCCCCTTCCTGTGTCCCAGTGTTCTCATTGTTCAATTCCCGCCTATGAGTGAGAACATGCGGTGTTTGGTTTTTTGTCCTTGCGATAGTTTGCTGAGAATGATGGTTTCCAGCTTCAGAATGATCCAATTCTGTCAAACGTGGCTGAATGTGTGAGCAGGATGAAGATAAAGAAGTGATACCAAACTCAGTATCACTTCTTTATCTTCATCCTGCTCACACATTCAGCCACGTTTGACAGAATTGGATCATTCTCTCCTTTTGGGAGCATCATTTTTTACTCTCAGGCCACTACAACCAACAGGTTTTCTAAGTACTCCACTGGATTCAGTCTTTACTTGGCCAACTTCTTCTCTTCAACGTGACATCTAAATATTGAAGTGGCTTGTGGCTCCATTCAAGCCTCCTTTCCTTCTCATTCAATATTCTCTGGCAATTTCATCATCCCATAGGTTTAAATACATATCAACTCCCAAGGACATGACTTCCTCTGAAGCACAAACTCATTTAGCTAATTGCTGATGTGACCTTTCTGCCTGGATGGCTAGTAAGCACTTCACTTTTAATCCAAAACTGAGTGTTTGATTCAGTCTCCTAAAATTTGTTAATACCACAATTTTTCTTGTTCTAAAAAACAGCAGGCTGGGCGCGGTGGCTCACGACTGTAATCCCAGCACTTTGGGAGGCTGAGGCGGGCGGACCACGAGGTCAGGAGTTCGAGACCAGCCTGGTCAACATAGTGAAACCCCGTCTCTACCAAAAATATAAAAGAAAAATTAGCCAGGTGTGGTGGCACGCACCTGTAGTCCCAGCTACTCAGGAGGCTGAGGTGGGAGAATCGGTTGAACCTGCAAGGCGGAGGTTGCAGTGAGCTGAGACCATTCCATTGCACTCCAGTCTGGATGACAGAGTGAGACTCCATCTCAAAAAAAAAAAAAAAAAAAAAGTTCTGAAGATGGATGGTGGTGATGGCAACACAACAATATGAGTGTACTTAATGCTGTTGAACTGTACACCTTAAAAATGGTTAAGGTGGCCCACAGATAAAAGGATGGTTCAGCATACACATCAAACAAGGTGATACATCATATCAACAGAATGAAGATTTCTTGTAATCTTATATATTTCAACAAGATAGACATGTTCTAACATTAACTATTCTTCAAATGCCTTTTGAATCAGATTTACTATCTCGCAAACTTTCTTATTAAGTTAACATATATATCATTCTATATTTGTGGGCATCATATTTGTAGCTTTCCAAAAATTATATTTTGACACAAAGACTTTATGACTCAAAGTTTATGACTCACGTGTCTGACAAAGAAAATGATTTTTTTTATTTTTTATAAACTGTTAAGTGGGAATTTTCATATCATTACCTATGATGACAAATGAGTATAAAAGGGCTTAGAGATTAAAAGCTATATTCCATAGTAAATAAAATAAATCTTTATAATTTACATATCTCAAAAAATTTTTAAGCAATTTTGTAAGAACATTTTCAATGTTACCATGTAGACAGCACTTAATTGTGATAATGTTTTCAGTCTCCAGCTCTAAGCATGTATGCATGTATGTGTTTTCTTAGATGACTTTCTGTTTGGAATTGTACCTCCTTCTTTATTGGCATGAATAATCCTGTTTCCTTTAAAAAACTCTTATTTTTTCTTTGCATGTTAATTGGGAAGACTTGAAATGTAAGGCCTCAGGCAATATTTCATCCATTTTGAGTTAAAATTTAAAAAGCCTATTCTTTACAGCTTAAAATAATGCAAAATGGAAATAAAATTGGGAATGCAAAATGGTTCAGTCAATATGGAAAAGTCTGGCAAAGTTTTATAAACCTAGACATACACTTACCACATAACCAATCAGTTTTACTCTGAGGTATTTTCCCAAGTGAATAGACAATTTATATTCATGTCAAAACCTGTACATGAAAGTTTATGATGGCTTTTTCATAATCAACAAAATAGGAAACAACAGAAATGCCCTTCAACTGGTGAATGGATAAACAAACGATGATAGATCCATACAATTGGGTACTATTCAGTATTAAATGAGAAAGGACTGCTAGTAGATACAAGAATATGGATGAATCTAAAACATATTATTCTAAGTGAATGAAGCTAGGCTCAAAACGTATGATGTCATTTATATGACATTTTGGAAAAGACAAAATAATAGTGACAGTAAACAGATCAGACAGTTGGCAGGGGCTTGGGAGGGGGAGGGGAGGAATACAAACAGGCACCTGAGAATTCTTGTGGCTGATGAAACTTCTGTGTCTTGATTTTGGTGGTGGTCTCAAGACTATATACATTTGTCAAAACTTGTAAAACTGTATACTAAAAAAGGTGAATTTTACTGTATGTAGATTGCACTTTAATGAATAATGAAAAAAGGAAATTATAGTGTTAAATAAACGAGGATGAAGCTTTTAATATTCTGCTTCTACAGACTTCAAGTACCCATAGGAAAATTCCACTCATGTTATTATTTTTGTGAAGAATTTTAGTTTTACTCTTTTAAAAATATAAACATATTTTATTATTCGTGAATTAAACTAGCCAATTCACTTATTGAATCAATTTCTAAGTTCATTATTTCTCCTTGTATACATTTTCTAGGTGCCACTTTTCTCCTTGCTGAAATTATTTTATTGGGAGTGTTTGGGGATAAATACTTTCCAATGTCATTTTTACTTTGTCCTAATTCATTAATAATGGCTCAGCTGTGCCTGGAATCATAGGTGTGCAGTTAAGTTTCCTCAGCACTTTTGAATATATTTCTCCCTTGTCCTATTGCTGCTATTGATAGTCCACTATTATCTAGTTGTCTTTACTTAGTGGGTAATCTGTCTTTTATTTCTTGGAGAATATAAAATGTTTTCATTGATATTGATACTCTTCAAGTTCAGTACTGTATGAATTCCTTTTTGTTTTCGTGCCCAATACTTAGAAAACTGTCTATTTACTCTTTAAGCATCACTGGTGGAAGAACACAGTAACACCAAGACATATAAGCCATACTGGATTGCCAAAGGTCAATGAGGGGAAGACCTCACATTTACAGACTCCTCAGGGAGCAGTCATATTGAATAGGAGATAGTCCAGGGTAAAAGGATCATAAAGAAGGAAGCAGCATGCCACATAAGTAAGGAAAGCCACCTTATTTTCTGGGACAGAGGGCTGGCCACATAAGGAGACTTTGTGTCCTGCTCTATTTAGTTAATTTAGAAACAAGCTATCAGTGCCTCCCTTGTGGAATAGAAACATAGAGCCTAGGAGCTTATTTAGTGAAAGAAGAATATAGGAGTACCAGGCCAGGAAACACACCCATGAGGATTAATTGTCATCCTGATCTTGGGCCAGCATTTCCAGGGAAGCCATTTGAGTTGAGAGGATAAGTCCCTCGGAACATAGGGGTAAAATAGAGGGAAGAGATCATGGATCAAAAGACAGGGCAGCCTCTCTCAGGACAAGGCTCTGGCTCACCTTTGGCTCCAGGGAGAGTGAGGCAGGGGACAACAGAATCTCCTTTGGGCAGCTCTTTCAATATCGACTCAATATCTACTTCCTCCAGGACCCTGCAGCTTTTATCTTTGCTCCCTGACCCCAGCAAGAATGAAGGAAAGTCTGAGTATCTGAACCCAAGAACTCAGTCTGGTAACTGCTCTAGGGCTAGAGGGGCTCTCTCCCTGGCAACCTGTATGAAAGTAGTTGCTACTAGTTCTTCACAGGCGTGAGAACAAGAAAGTAATCTTCTTCCTATATAGGAAACTACCCAAATTCTGTATTAGCTGTCTGCCTGCATCCACTGCTATCTCTAGGGTAGACCTGCAGATAAGTGGAAGGAATAGAAGGGCCCTGACATCTGATCTCACTAGTACTTTTCAGACACTTAACCCAACTTGGCAATATTAAACCAACTGAACACTGCTGAAGAAAGCCACGTCCTTTCTTCCCATTTCGACTGGAACATCCTTGAACTTCAAACAATCCCTAGGAAAGTCTGAGTGGTCGGACAGCTAAGCTTCTCACAACCTGAGGTAAGGACTTTGTATTTATTTCAGGGGAAGGTGTGCCTCTAGGTAAGCTGAGTAGGAAAAATGGAGTCCAAAGCATACCCTAAGAACTTGAACTACTCGGTCTGCCAGATTCCCTAGTATAATGTTTGGGCTTCATAGCCTGTTCCAATTTGTCTATTCTTAATTTTCTGAACCCGAAAAGAGAACCAATAAGGACTGTGCTACAGCCCAGGCATGGGTATCTGCTTCCTGGTGGAAATCGCAATACTTGTCTTTAGACCCTGTGTGCTCTGCTGGCTCCCGGTAACGCATTTTTGCATCTATCAGATGATGAATATCCTAAAGGGCCATCTAAAAAGTGATGATATGTCCATTGCATGTTCTTATACCTTTTAACCATTAAGGTACTAATGGCCCCATAAGAGGCTAGTGGAAACCAGTGAAATATGAAAACATAGATGCCATATATGGGGAAATGATTGACAAAGGATGCTTCACTTCAAAATCTTTAACTGCATGTTCACAGTTGGCTTTATCTATCCAGTTTCACAATGCACATAGACTCCTGTCAATCTTAGGCCCTTGTCCTTCTCCTTGGCTTCTCCATGGGATTGGGTACCACAATGCCAACAGCTGCTTTCTGGAAAAGCAGTTCCTCCCTATTCCTGTGGTCCTTCTACCAAGTTTAAAGGTTCTGGCCCTGCAGAAGGGAGAGTGAACATCTGGTCAAAGGCAGGAGAGGGGATAGAATTATTGAGCATAATTACAGCATATAATAGATGCTCTCTTGCTCCCTTTCACCATTTCTCCCAAACACAAACATCCTGATCTTCCTAGGAAAGCCCTCATATGTTATATTTCAGAGCCCTTCCAAGCTCACATCTTAATATAACCTGTTTTAAATAAACACATTTGTATTGACCCTAAAGTATTTAGCTCTAAATGCAACATCTTCTCAAACACAACATTCTCTTGTCTCAGGCAGTCCATTATCCCTTCTCTCTCAAGCTTCTGTAGAACGTGGGGCTGGCCAAGAGAGAAGTAACTAAGGTGGACAAGTTTTAGCCTACTAATGAGGCTTTCATCTACTGCCTTGAGTACTGCAAACAAATGTGGCTGTAAGTTCTACGGAAAAAGAAGTGAAAGTGCTTTATTGAAAACCAGTCTCTGTACCTGTTTGGAATTTCATATCAAAACAAGTCTATGAAGAAAACTAACTGGATAGTTACAAGGATAATCAAGGATTTGTGTGGCAGAATATTTCTTTAATCTTAAGAGAAAGATAATTTTTTGCTTTTGGAAAGATACATGTTCAGGTTTAATGTCCTAAATAAGATTTTATGTGTGATCTCTTAATGTTTAGTTATTACTGTGATGTCTGTTCTCCATTTAGATGGAACTTTTATCAAAATACAGTGAGAAGTCAGACATTCAGAAATCGAGAGGCAAAGTCAGTTATCAGTGGAAAGGGTAACATCTCAGTGGATTCATGTCCTAAGAAGCCTCTGATATTTCAAAACTAGAGTTCATCTTAGCAAAAATTCATGAAGTATCCATCTTGTTCTAGGTGATGAAAGAAACCACAGCATGGAGCTCTGGAACTTCACCTTGGGAAGTGGCTTCATTTTGGTGGGGATTCTGAATGACAGTGGGTCTCCTGAACTGCTCTGTGCTACAATTACAATCCTATACTTGTTGGCCCTGATCAGCAATGGCCTACTGCTCCTGGCTATCACCATGGAAGCCCGGCTCCACATGCCCATGTACCTCCTGCTTGGGCAGCTCTCTCTCATGGACCTCCTGTTCACATCTGTTGTCACTCCCAAGGCCCTTGCGGACTTTCTGCGCAGAGAAAACACCATCTCCTTTGGAGGCTGTGCCCTTCAGATGTTCCTGGCACTGACAATGGGTGGTGCTGAGGACCTCCTACTGGCCTTCATGGCCTATGACAGGTATGTGGCCATTTGTCATCCTCTGACATACATGACCCTCATGAGCTCAAGAGCCTGCTGGCTCATGGTGGCCACGTCCTGGATCCTGGCATCCCTAAGTGCCCTAATATATACCGTGTATACCATGCACTATCCCTTCTGCAGGGCCCAGGAGATCAGGCATCTTCTCTGTGAGATCCCACACTTGCTGAAGGTGGCCTGTGCTGATACCTCCAGATATGAGCTCATGGTATATGTGATGGGTGTGACCTTCCTGATTCCCTCTCTTGCTGCTATACTGGCCTCCTATACACAAATTCTACTCACTGTGCTCCATATGCCATCAAATGAGGGGAGGAAGAAAGCCCTTGTCACCTGCTCTTCCCACCTGACTGTGGTTGGGATGTTCTATGGAGCTGCCACATTCATGTATGTCTTGCCCAGTTCCTTCCACAGCACCAGACAAGACAACATCATCTCTGTTTTCTACACAATTGTCACTCCAGCCCTGAATCCACTCATCTACAGCCTGAGGAATAAGGAGGTCATGCGGGCCTTGAGGAGGGTCCTGGGAAAATACATGCTGCCAGCACACTCCACGCTCTAGGGAAGGATCATGGCTAGCTTCCAGAATTCCTTCTCCTGAGAGTCAAAAGATTCATGTTATGAATCAAATACTAATGGTAAAACCAATACAGTGCAGAGTATAGCATTTAATAGAAAAGTGAAGGAATGTAACTGGATTTGTCAAATGCTCTTTAAATCTTCTCTCCATGAAGTAATTTATAGGGCATGATTTACACTATCTAAAATTACTCTTCACTCTATTTAAAATTTAATCTTTATTTTCCCAGGAAGGTATTTAGTTAAATGGGTTCCCACCTTGGGACATGACCCCTAACCTTCGAAGTTTATATTGGATCAGGGAAAGGAAAAGAACCAGAGAAAGGAAAGTTTCAAGTGGGTGGTGTAAGTAAAACCCAGACATCAAAGGGGGAGATGTCTTGAGATTTGCACAAATTTAGACCAACTGACCTTATTAAAAGGTTATATAGACTTCTTGTCTAATGCCCCAACTGGTAGTAGTTTGCTTGTATTTGCATTGTACTTGCTCTTTTTTTTCTTTCTAAACATCAGCCATATGAAACACTCTAACAAGTGTCTTTGCTTGTTTGTTTTTGTTTGTTGGTTTTTGACATGGAGATACTTTATAGTTCCTAAAATGCAATTATTAATAAAATGAAGAAAATAGGAGGTGAAGGTAGTCCATAAGCAAGGTTCATGATAAACAACTTTGCTTATTTCTTGCTAATACAAAAACAAACAAGCAAAATAGTGATTTTCCATTATCCAAGGCTATCTTGTAACATTCCAACCATTGCAGTGTTCACATGCATGGTGGGTGTGGATATTTAAGTCAGTGTGTCTGTGTGTTTGTGCTAAAGATGGAGAGGACAACATAATGCATTTTCTCACCAGCTTAATTATGCTGCACTACTATTAGTTTGTCTATAAGTCTGAGAATATTGAAAACAAAAGATGTGAACAAAAGCTGTGAGTTGCATTTTGAAGATTAAAAATAATATAAAATGATATGGCTAATTACATGACACTCTTTTGGGGGATATTGCTGTTTGAAGATTCGCTAACGCTTTTTAAATCAATTCCTATAGTAATTTAAAACAGTAACTGAGACTAGGTTCAGAAAGTATAGTAGTAGTATATCATGTTTGGAAGGCAAGGCTGAGTAGAGATAATTCCTACACGTATTTATATGAATTTCCTTCCATTTTAATACAGGCATGCATTTTACTGAGTTGATGTGTGTGTGTAAAACAGATTTTTTTAACCTACAAGCATATAGTTATTTTTCCTATATTATATAGTGGCAGTATACAGCACTGCAAAGAGTCTAGGGTCAGCTATCAGCGTACAGAAGTTAGAATTGAATACACCCCACTTATTTCTATAACTTTTAGCATATTACTTAACCTGTTTGTGCCCAAGTCTGCAAGTTTGCAAAGTGTAAGTTGACATTAACAATAAGACCTACTTTGTAGTGTTGTGAGGATGAAACAAGTTAGTAAATATAAATATAAAGACATCTTTATACTTGTAATCAGCATGTGTCGTATAATAAGTATTTAATAAATTTAACACCTACAGAATAAATGGCCCTGAAAATACTGTTGAGTGATGGTATAATGTTACATCATATGGGTGTTTTGTAACATTATTAGCTATTTTATCATTGTTTTACCTTTAACATTGTCGTGTGTGTGTGTGTGTGTGTGTGTGTGTGTATGTCTCTGTGTGTGTGTGTATGTGTGTGTGAAATCAATAATGTCAATCTCTTGGATGTGTGACTTTTTTTCTATAGAAAATTCCTATGAGTGAAATTACTCGAACCAAGGTTAAAAATCTGTTTAATACTCTTCATATGAAAAGACAAATTGTTTTCTTAAAATGTTAAATATTTTGCATTCTTACCAGCAACATATAAGTGTACTTAGCCCACTACATATTTTTTCATGTTAAATTTTACATATAAGTAGTCTTCACTAATTGATAAGGTATAAAATTTGCCTATTTTAATTTGCTTAAGTAACTTGTCCACAGTTTTCTTATTGATTTGTTGAAGTTTTTTTACAGGTTAGGAACACGGAGACTTTGTTATATTTGTGGTAATAACTTCTTTTCAATTTGTTATTTGGCTTCTAATATCTGCATGGCAGAGATTTTTAGAAAGAGAAATATTTAAAATATTTGTATAGTGAAGGATATCTTTTATTTTTTTTTCCAGTGATTTTTACTGTTAGGATATAATTTTCTATTCTCATTGACGTCTTTGCTGTGCATCATACAGTTCAATTTAGGTAACAATTTATATATTTTATGTGTTTTGTCACTCTATATGTTTAACTTTAACAATAAATGTCAAACTTATCTTTACATGTGAAAATGATGATATTTCAACTTTTGTCAAAGGTACCATTTTTCTAGCAATATTTTAAAGTAATCCTTTCATTTTCTATTATTTTACTACCTTCATCAGACATGTTCTAGTAAGCTATATTTTGGCTAACTCTTCAGTTCTAGCTTCTTTCTCCTCTTTACTCTTTTGGAAGACATTTGATTCTATCATTCACATCTTAATAGCTCACTTGTAATTTGATTGTGAATATATTTAACTGATAAATTAATTTGTAATTTGAGCATTTTTTACAATACTCAGCCTTGCCTTCCTGAACATGGTGCATGACTATACTTCTGGAACCTAGTCTCAGTCAGTTTTAAAATGAACATTCCACACCATCATTCTAAGCTGATGCCTTGCCTCACACTTCACTAGAACAGAAGCAGTTGGCTACAAAGCCCTCTTCAAATCCTCCACATATCTGTGCCTGCGTGTACACTTCCTGTTTTCCCTCATTATAACTGCTTGAACCCGGGAGGCAGAGACTGCAGTGAGCCGAGATTGCACCACTGCACTCCAGCCTGGGCAACAGAGTGAGATTCTGTCACAAAATAAATAAATAAATAAATAAATAAATAAATAAATAAATAAATAAAGTAAGAAGTCTTTGCATGACTCCAATCCCCCTCAGTAACTGTAGCATTATTTTCAGCTTCTCTTCACAGGAAAAAAAAAAAATACAAAGGGAACACTTATGCCCATTTTCTCCTCTGCTGATCTTCTATTCGCATCTTAACACACTTTCAATCAAGCTCTGGTCTCTTTCTATGGACCTGTTCTTTGTGAAAATTATCATTAATGTGCTAAATAAAATGTCTACCTCCATATTCTCCTTCATCAACCTTTCAGCAACATTGATATAATTGACCTCACCCTTCTGTTGGGAAATTTTTCTTCTTTTGGCTTCCAGACACCACACAACTCTGGCTTGCTTCTTTAATCCCTAACCTTTTTTGCCTTATTGGATTCGTTTTTCTTTCTGAATGTTTCCACATTCAGATGATACAAACATGGACTTCCCTGTCTTCTCAATCAAGAATCTCTTCCTGAGTAATTTCATCCACTTACATAGATTTAAGTTCTGTCCATATGCTTTTGAGTCCCAAAGACCTCACTACTTGTATAATCCACAGACTCAAAAAATTAGCCGGGTGTGATGGTGGATGCCTGTAATTCCAGCTACACAGGAGGCTGAGGCAGGAGAATCGCTTGAACCTGGGAGGAGGAGGTTGCAGTGAGGCAAGATCGCGCCATTGCACTCCAGCTTGGGCAACAAGAGCGAAACCCCATCTCAGAAAACAAACAAACAAACAAACAAAAAAACAAAAAACAACGAGATATCACGTCTTGCCTGTTAGTATTATTTTTGAAAACCAAAAAAGTCAAAGCAAAACAAGTGTTGGTAGGTATGGGGAGAAAATGGAACCTGTGTACACAATTCATGGGAATGTAAAATGGTACAGCCATTATGGAAAACAGTATGGAGGTCTAAAGATTCAAACTATTACTACTGTATGATCCAAGATTCCCACTTCTGACTATATATCCAAAGGTAATTAAATCGCTGTTTCCAAGACATATTTGCACTCCATGTTTATTGCAGCATGATTCACAATAGACAAAATATTGGAAACAACCTAAGAGTCTATCAACAGACCAATGGATAAAGAAAATGTGGTCTATTTATACAATAGAATATTATTTACCCTTAAAAGGGAAGGACACTCTGTCATTTGCAATGAAATAGACCAACCTGGAGGACATTATGCTATGTGGAATAAGCCCAACACAGAAATACAAATGCTGTCTAATTTTGCTTAATGCGGAAGCTAGAAAAGAGTCTAACTCAGTAATAGAGAGTACAGTGGTGTTTGCCAAGGGTTTGGGGTGACTGTGGGAGGAAATGAAAAATATTAGTCAACAGATACAAACTTTTATTTTTAAGATGAATAATTTCTGAGGTTCCAACATATAGCATGGTGACTGAAGTTAATAAAAATGTGTACTTGAAATTTGCTGCAGAAGTAGATGTCACGTGTTCTCACAACACACACGCACAGAGGGTAAGTATGTAAGGTGATTGATATGTTGCTCTGTTAATTAGCTTGCATGTGGTCATCATTTCACAGGGTATACGTATATCAAATCATCACACTGTATACCTTAAATACATTCTAGTCATATTTGTCAACCATATCTCAATAAAGTTGGAAAAAAAAGAAAACTATGGGCAAATTATACATAATAATAAACATAAAAAATCATTTGAAAACATTTCTAAAGCTGCTTTGTCTTCATTATAGGAATGTAAAATATTACCTCTGCTGGAATATGAACTACACCCAGGATTTGAATAGTACAAATTAGATGAGACGACTTGCAGTGTAGAGCCCTCTAGGCTTTCAGCCTAGAACAGGAAGGAACGCAGAGTAATGACAGCAAACAGTGAAGCTATAGGATAATAATTCCTCCTCAGTGACAAGAGGCCCCACCACTGCTTTGGACTCCAGGAAGCACTCAGACATTAACATCTGTGAAGTGTGCCCTGCATGCTAAGAAAAGGGTGAACTGACAGACCCTTCTGTCCATCAAGTCATCCACAGCCTAGTTATTTCTGTCTCTGCTGCTAATTGTGCCAAAAGTAACCATAAAATCTGGAGTCAACTGCTAGAAGTTTTGCAAGAACAAAGGCCAAGGAGATGCACTTGTGTCTTGGTGAGTAGCCAAAGTTAGCTGCAGGGAGCTGAAGCAAGGGACTGAAAAAATGAGAAGTCTTAGAAAATGTTCTCCAGTCCTTGAGGATCTGAAGGCCTATGTGTGACTGATATTTGGTGGAGAAGAACGGACCTAGCTCTTTCCCCACTCCAACCAACCAAAATCTTTGTTGAAAGGCATATTGTGTATTGTCACTAATTCTGGGAAGGCGGGGGCCATTGGTTTTCATGAAGTGTGACTATGAAACATGAAAATCACACAAGGCAATCTTGATCTGAGGAATGCTTCTAAGAGAAAATGAATACACCTGCCCTATAGGCCCGCTTCTCTACCAAGCACACGGAGATGTCCACTTATTCTTGCTGGCACCAAATGGTGATATTCAAAAGAGCTGGCATAATTTTTTAGAGTTGCTAAGTATATAAAGCACTAACTTTATCAATTTTGTTAATTATACTTCACTTCATCTCTGTCTTATCAATTAGCTAAATAAAAACAGCATCAATTCATGAATATCATGATAATAAAAAAATTCAGGTAAATATTCAAAAAAGTCAAGTGTTAGCTGTACATATTATTGTAACTATAAAGGAAGGGAAAATATATCTTTATTTTATGAAAGCCAGTAAAATAAATCAAACTTCTCTTAAAATATTTGGTAAGGAAAAACTAACAACGTGTTTCTTTTTAAAATAAACTTCTAAATTTTGGAACAATATTAGGCTTACAGAAAAATTGCAAAGATGCTAAAGAGAGTTTTTCACACACCCATCTCTCAGTTTGTTTCTTCTAATATATTCATCCTTCATTAGCATACATACTTGTCAAAATAAGAAACCAAAATTGATACATCACTGTTAAACTATTCAGATTTTGCCATTTTATTCAGATTTTATTATCTTTTCTGTTAGTATTACTTTATGTTCCAGGGTCCAATCCAATATACCGTACTCCATATAGGTATCTTGTCTCTTTGACAAGCTTTGATCTGATATTTCTCAGTCTTTACTTGTTCATAACTGTAAGGGTTTTTTAATGAAGGGAAATAGGGTTTACAGAGCTGCAGAACAATTGTTATTTTTAAAATGCTGTTTATCAAGAAGGATTTTTGTTTCCTGATCCTGGTCAATGTGATGTTTTAGCAAACAGTGAAATACACTGGCTTATTAGTCTCAAATAAAAATTGTTAATCACAATCTAGAATTCACCTGTACAAGGTTTGTAGTGGACAAAAAATTAAAATAAGGACAAAAAGGAAAATTAAGAATGTGCTGTGAAGAAACTTAAAAGGCAGACTGAGAAATCTGGAGTTTACTCAACATTGGAAACCACTAGACACCTGGAGCACAGAAGTCATTTATATTAATCCTCACTTGCCTGTAGTTGTTAGTTGCCTCTGGCCACTCTGAATAACCCGGGTAGATCCAGTACTCCCACCTCTTGTACTGATGCAAGAGACTAGAAGCTTCTCCAGATACTGTATTAGCAAAGGGGAATTATAAAAGACTTATATTATCTAAGCAATACTTTGAAAGACCGGCAGATTACAAAGATGGTCGAAAACAAACAGGATCAAATGGAACAAGGATAAAATAAAGTTCTACATCTACGTTTATGGGAAAAATCAGTTACATAAATGGAGGATGGGGGATACTTAATCTGATAATCAATACTTCACATGAAAAAGTTTACAAAGTTTTGTGACCTCAATTTCAATATGAGTCCTGAGGGTCATATGTTCACTAAAAATTCAGTCCCCGTCTGGAGAGGTGTCAATCTCACCATAGTACATGGGACTCAAACTCATTCGTGGTTTATTGAAAGGTGAGTATGTGAGGAATACTGTGCTAAACCCTATTCCAATACTTGAAATCAGAATTAGAGGTGTTTTAAAGCATTGGAAAATAAAAGAAAAGCACAATGAAGAAATTCAACATTATGCTTTTACTTCCTATTAACTCGAGTTAACTTATAAAAGAGTTTATAAAAGAGTTGTAATAACAATGCCTAGAGGAGGACTCTCCCATCCCTGATCACAACCCCATTTCAGAAACTTCTTCTACGGGGACACTTCGACAGTAGATTTTTGATGAACTTTATATCCAGTCATTTAAAAAATTATTACAACAAGATACTTATACTGTTTAGGCACAAATAGATATGCACATTATATTAAAACTTTTAATAAGTATGGGCTAGCAAATAATGCATGATATCCTTGGTAATATCCTTTTGTAAATTTTATTAAGTAACATACAGCAATAAAGTTAGATCCCACATCTTGAGCAACAGTTGGATCCATATCTGGAGATAGAATCTTCACTGTCTTCAGAGTTCTGGTTGTCGGGTGACAGTAGGGAGCTAAATTTCTGAAAATCATACTGACATACCCTGTATCCATCTCCCTGTCCAGATAAATAAAGTTATATATAATATGGGCTAAGAAAAAAAGCATTTAAATAAATATATTGATGGCAATGCTTAGCCACAGAATGCAATTTACAGGTGTAAGCAGTCCAGCATTATCTAGCCAGCATTTTAGTCATATTCCTTCTAGTCTTGTTTAAACAAGCAAATATGGCTGATATTTTTGATACTGTTATATAACATAATATTTTTATTAAGTTAGAAATATTTTTTCTTTCATTAACTCTATTTAGATCACTTTATTTCAATTTCTGCATAGTTTTCCATGTAACATATGAGCTACAATTTATTTGACCAGTGCCCTGTTTGCGAAAGTTGAGCATATTTTGCTTATTTCCTTTCCTTGTTTCTGTATTTATAAGTAAAAGTGTCTATCTGCACAAATCTTTCCGAATCAGAATGGTTGCAATATTTTTAGGATTTGTAATACATATTTTCAAAATTTTTTTCTGGCAAGGCTGAGCCAATTTGTATCTCTCTGCATACTAGTAAAGTATGAGGGGTTTACTTCCTGCACCTGCCAACCCCACATATAGGCATGACACACATGCCTTGCCTACATGGTTCCAAACTATATTCATTCATTATACATATTCATAGCCATCATGCACTAGATACTGTTCCTGCCCATGGTAATAAAAGGATGTAAAAGAAAATCTGATCCTGTCACCATGGTGCTTATAGTCTAATCAGGGAGACAGAGTATTGATGAAACAACTGCACTCAGCCACTAGTTCAATGTGGACACTGACCACAGTAAATTTGAAAATAAACCTAGAAACCATTATGTTTTGATAGGTGATATGTTCCCAAAACAAAAATTCCTAGTTTCTTATCTCCTTGCCTTGTAACACACGCTAGAATGATATCTCCTGGGCCTCTGCTACCTAATAGAGATCTTATCAAAAAGTCTTGTGTTGCTTTTCCGTAATGAAGCCTGTGCTTCCTTGATTGGAACCTTGTCTATGCAAATTACAAAGGGACAGACAATAGTGGACCCAGCTCTATCCTGTATTTTATGGCCCTGTCCTGCAGAAATCCATTTTCTAGCTTGCAACCTATTCCTCTCTCTCCTCTTGGACTAGTTAAAGAAAGTATTCCTAGTTCCATAGTGATGCCTTTGAAACTCTGGCCCCCAATTTAGGCCCTAAGAACTCCACTGGACTTCATAGAACACATTGATCCCAAGTTTAATAGCATTTTATCAGATTTCACACATCCCTTCTATACATTTCTGCTAGCTTTCTTGGGGTCAGGATCCTGGTGCTGGTACAGGTGCAGAGTACAGCATAGGGCTCTCTTGACCTCTTGATTGCGCAGGCAGTAAATGATGGGATTGAGCAATGGTACAATGACAGCATACAGTACAGAGACCAACTTGTTGGTGTCAAAAGCTGAGAGTGCCTTTGGCCGAGCATAGATGAAGATACTGGCTGCATAGAAGATTATCACAACAGTGAGATGAGAGGCACAGGTGGAAAAGGCCTTATAGCGTCCAGCAGCCGAAGGAATGTGCATCACAGCACCAGTAATGGCCACATAGGAGGCCCCAGTGACAGAGAGTGGCCCTAGAAGAATAAAAATGGCCAGGATGAAATCTGTAAGCTCTGCTGTGGACATATCAGTGCATGAGAGGTTGAGCAATGGAGAGACATCACAGAAAAAGTGGTTGATGATGTTGGGGCCACAGTAAGAGAGGCCAGAAATAAGAAAAACTTTGACCATGGAGATGCCAAAACCTCCAGCCCAAGAGCCAGCAGCCATCTGCACACACAGCCGGCCACTGACAATGACTGGGTAGTGGAGAGGATAGCAGATGGCCATATAGCGATCATAGGCCATAACAGCGAGAAGGACACACTCAGTGCAGCCCAAGCCAAGGAAAAAGTAGAGCTGTGTCATGCATCCCTCAAAGGAGATTAGCTGTCCATGATCCTGTTTGGATCCAACAAAGCCAGCAAGCATCTTGGGAATAGTGACAGTGACATACCAGATCTCCAGAAAGGACATATTAGCTAGAAAAAAGTACATGGGTTTGTGGAGGGTAGAATGGTTCCTAATTGCCATAATGATGAGTGTGTTCTCAGTCAGCACCAACACATAGGCCAGCAGCAAAAGGGCAAACAATAGTACCTGTAGTGGCGCAGGAGCAGGGAAGCCCAGCAACACAAACTCACTCACTCTCCCACTATGGTTCCGCCACTCCATGTCATTGGTCTCTCTTACTGCTCTTCAGGAGATGAGAGTAGAGAGTCTTCAGTAGGCCACAACAAGAACCCAGCCTTTCTCTTAATGGGCTTATATTGGTCGAATACCACGTAAGGAGTTCATGTAATTAATCACTGAGCTGAGGCCACTGCTCTCTTCTTTAATCTGGAAATGAGCTAAGGCAAACATACAAAAATAAATGTTTTTTTTTTTTTGGAAACAAGATAGGAAGGAGTCTGTTCTGACCTTTGGAGAAGCATGCATTGAGATGCACTGGGGAAAAATGACACTATTTTGTCCCCAAAGAACATAGATCAAAACCAAAAAATTGAAAGAGTCTCGGCTGCCCTAAAATGAGAGTTTGTCTTTGAGTTGGATCATGACTCTGTTTTGAGGAAATAAGTTACACAATGGAGGAATAACAATCATATATAACACAATTGAGTTATTATTAGCACAGGCACTGTTATTATTGCATGCACTGCTGTAAAACATTTGCAGTATTAATTCGCTTGATCTTAACAACAATCTTGTGGGCTAGTACTACTAATAGCTACAACTGTATGCCTAAAAAAACTGAAATATAGATTTAAGTGACTAATTCTGGGTTGCAGAAATAGCAAGAGGTGGAACTGGGAAGTCAGGACCTTGGAGCTTCCAAAATATTTAGGTGATGTAAAGGAGGGACTGTACAATACATCTTGGATGTACAGCTGGGAGAGAGAATCTTTGAGATCAGTTACAGAAACAGTTCCTTCCTGCCAGGAGGAAAGAAAGACAAAAGCAGAATACCAGAAGGTCACAGTACCTGTAGAGTGGAAGTCTGCAGAACCCAGTACTTACAAGGAAGACATGAGATTCACTAGGAAATCAGATTAGGAAATGGATGCTGGATGGCAGAAAGACTAAGAATTACAAGATGCTGGAAGTTGTACTAAGTATCTTGAAATGAGGATAGAGTATCTTCCTTTAACATTAAGGCCCATATAAAAACATACATTTACTAGGATACTGTTTGTTTACCTTGGTATCAAAGATAAAAATTTCCCTTTCCCTTTAAAAACTTCAAGCCATTTTTGTGTCTCATGTAGACAAGAAGTTGGGATTTTTACATGGGAGTTGATATGAAGGAAGGGTTATTTTTACCCTGTTCCCCTGTACAGATATAGCATTGGGAGAGAGTGTGGAGTTTAGAAAGGAGAATGGGGTAGAGTCAGCTGAGCATCTGGGTGCGATTTCTTCTCAGATTTCTTACCTTTTAGTCTTAAATCTGTCCCTATGAGGTTAGTGGGGGCAGAATGTGCTCACAAATTAAAACAACCTGCTAATAATTTTATGCCTGACTTTCTCTTCTCTGTATGCTCTGCTATCATTACTTGAGCATTACTCAGTACTTGAGCCCTTGAATTTCTCTTAATACTGTAATGCAATTACAAAATACCTATGACCCTGGCTTTCATTTCCCATCACTCCTATTCTTACCATTCACACCCACAATTTTATTTATTTCAAAATTGATGGTTGATCGGCAATGCTCTAGACCATGGGCTAAGAGTTGTGGTATATAAAGGTTCACAGACACATGCTGAGTCTTCAGGATCTTATAATCTAGTTATAGGGGCATATCTTCACCTTCTCATCCCTGAAAGTTTAAGCTACATGCCTGTCCCAATGCCATACATGTACATACATAGATAAGTGGGAACATCAAACCTACAATTGCTGTTTATGACCTTAGCCTTGATCCTTTCTCCTCAATACCTACCTCATAAACCCTTCTTTTTGCTTTTGATCCTTTTGGCCTCGGACCTTCATTCATATCCTTTGGTCACTTCAACCTTCATGTCTGATGCTCTGCATACTTGAAAATAATAGCCTTTCACACATGGACTCCCAACTGATTTTTCTGCTTATAGTCTTACCCTTAAAGGTGAGATCTTAGCTCAAAACTGACCATTTTACTCTCCTTAAAACTTGTCCATAGTCCCTTTGTGTACACAATAAATGCTCAAATCATTTAGCCTACAGGTACAAGGCCTATAGGCACTTCATGATTTTGCCACTGCTTCCACCTAAACCTTATTTCTTACCACAGTCTACACTGTATTTTATACCTTGCAGCTCTCAGCGCACACCATGTGTATCACCTCATAGCTTTCCTCATGCTGCAATCTCCATGAGCATGGCTACATCCTATTTAGCCTTCAAGTCTTGGTTCATAAGGCTTCTATCCATAGAGACATTAGGTACTTTTTTTTTTTAAACTTTTCCCTTCACAGGTTCAGTGAGATTCCTGTGGTTACTTGTCTCATTAGAGTCCATGAAAGTCTATATATCATTTTGCTTGCTACATCCCTGCAGCTATTGATCAGGTGGATGTAAAGGAGGACCTCTGTAGCTGAAGTGGTTCCACACGTCCTTAATGGTGGAGTATGGAGTGGATATAATTCCATGGATGTCACAGGAGTTCCACAAATCTACTATGTCTAGAATAACCTTTCCCAAGCAAGTTATTCCTCTATTACAATAAATGGCATTAGCTTTCATACAGTCGCCTATGCAAGCCATCTGGAAGTTTCCTAGATATTCTGTACCCATCCACCCTTTCCCCCAACACACATCCCACACTTAACTAATCCAAGTTCTAGCTAAAATGCCTCTTTAATTATCTCTCATATCAGTCCCTTTTCTTCTGTCCTATTTCTACTGCCTTCCTCCTAGTTCCTCACAGCAGGTCATTGATATTCCTTGATTTAACTATTTTGATAGGATCTTACCTGGTCTTTTTTCCTCCAGCCTGTACCCTCATCAATATAACTCCCACTTGTTTTCAGAGTCATATTTCTGTATAGAAACTGCTGACAACAAGAGCATCCAGTTTTTGAGAACACATACAAAATCCTCCAGTAAAGAATCAAAATGTATTTCCTTTTAGCTGTTATACAGCAATCTAATCATTGCCCACTATTTAACTTTTTAAAAACACGTCATGACGTTATATAACTCTGTAACTTTAAACATGTTTCTGTCAAAAACACCCACTCTCTTCCTAGGAATTTTTATCGTAATGTTTTAGTCCCTTAGTTATTACCCCTCCAAAATTACCCATATTTCTATACACTAGATTATTTGTTGCAGCATCTATCTCTCCTTCTGACAGTAGTTCCTGTTATAAGGTTTCACTTACTGATTATTAAAGGTTTATAATGTGGTTGCATGAATGCATGGCAAAAAGGAGAAAGGTATGATGTGGGCAGAACAGATGAATTGCAGATAACAGGAATGGAATATAAAGAAAAAAGTATATAAAAAGGATTTTGGTGGAAATGGTCAGGAATAGAGAATTTAAGTGGCTAACTGAGAATATGACAGAGTTGGAATTATATGCAAGTAAAACATGCATTGATTGTAGATCTGCAGGGACCAGATAAAACATGAGGAAGTTAGATGAAGTGCAAGAAGATTGGATTTACATGAATAAGAGATATAATATTTGGGTAAAATGAACTTGCTATATAGACAATAAACCAATGAGAGATAAGGTGGAGATAACTAGAATGTTGAAAGGATAGACTGGAAATGGATGATCAAAAATACTGTAGGGAGAACAGGTATATTATGAATAAATAAAGGACCAGCTATGAGAGGAAAAGATAAAGAAAGTGATATTAGTCTAAGTATCAACAGAATTAATATATGTGGAAAATATTGAGAGGTTTGGGATTTTATTAGGTATAGAGAGGAATAAGAAGATGGCTATATTAGACATAAGTAAAGAAAACTTGGGATAATTGACCACTTGAAGAGGAATCAGCAGATAACAGAATCCACTCACTTTATTCAGATGTCACTGACTCATCAAGGTCCTCCTGAGATGGCTGGGTTGGTTAGGAGAGGATTTAAAATGTATGCAAAAAAAGTTGAGTCATCGGGACTAAGAAAGATGATACAGAGATTCCACTTTCTCTTCCTCCCATAGATAGAGAACACTGCCAAGCTAGGAAAGATTCCTTTATCCTGTACCTCAATCCCTCAGTCCCCATTTTTCCCTCCTCCTTCTGATGCTTTGAGATGTCTCTGAGGCAGAAGCTCAAGAGACCAAAAGAGATACAAGAGAGAAAAAAAGGCTGGGGCAGAGGACAGGGAAGGGGAATGTTTGGAAAGCTCAGGCCATAGGGTTTTGTCAGGAAGTTTCATGAAAGAGAGAATGTCAAGATACCCCTACGAACTCATACTTCCCTCTCTTGCCTTCCTGTTCCTTGTCAGTCTCCCCTTTCTATCATGTCATACTCCTGTTCAAAAGAAAGACACGGGCTGATATTCTAACTCAGATATATAATTTTGGGCAATTTATTTAACCTCTTTGGCCCTTACATTCCTAATCTACATAATAGGATTCATATGCCTGACAGGATTGTTGAGAGGAGTAAATGTCATTAATATATGTACAGATCCTGGAACATGACAGGGGCTCAACAATACTAGACAGTTCCTTCTTTATCTCCTGATGCCATATAGGTGACACTCATTAACTCCATGATGTCATACAAGGAGCACTGAATTGAGAGTTAGGGTTTCTGGGTTTGAGTTCCATGTTTGCATTGGATTTTTTTTTTTAATTTGGGGTTTTGTTGTATATGTTTGTTTTCCATATAATGATATCTATATATATTATGAAAATAACATACATGATAAGCATTTTAAGTTTGTGACAAGATTTGGCACCCTACTCAATCCACAGTATTCTGTGTCATATTGAGGTCCAGCAAATTAATTACATGGGATTCACAGTCACATTGTAATTCACATCTGTAATGAAAGTAAATACTTTCATTACAAAAGGAAAAAAAAAATTAGCCAAAAGAAAGCAGCTACAGGCCCCATGAAAGTCTGAAACCTAGCAGAGAAGTCTTTTAACCTTAAAGTTCCAGAATAATCTCCTTTGACTCCATGTCCCATATCCAGGACACACTAGTGTGAGGGCTAGGTTCCCAAGGCCTTGGGCGGCTTCACCCCTGTGGCCTTGCAGGGTCAGCCCCCACAGCTACTCTCATGGGTTGGTGTTGAGTGCTTGTGGCTTTTCCAGGCACATGATGCAAACTGCTGGTGGCTCTACCATTCTGGGTTCTGGAGAAGGGGACCCTCTTCTCACAGCTTCACTAGGCAGTGCCCATGTGGGTTCTCGGTGGTGGCATCAACCCCACATTTTCCCTCTGCACTTCCCTAGTAGAGGTTCTCTGTGAGGGCTCTGCTCCTGTGGCAGGCTTCTGCCTGAACATCTAGGCTTTTCCATATATCCTCTGAAATCTAGGTGGGGGCTCCCAAGCTTCAACTCTTGCATTCTGTGCACCTACAGGCTTAACACCACTTGGAAGCCACCAAGGCTTATAGCTTGCACCCTCTGAAGCAGTGGCCTGAGCTGTACCTGGGCCCCTTTTAGCCATGCCTGGAGTTGAAGCAGCTGGGATGAAGGGAGCACTGTCCCAAGGCTGTGCAGAGCAGTGGGAACCTGGGTATGGCCCTTGAAACCATTCCCTCCTAGGCCTTTGGGCCTGTGATGGGAGGGGCTGCCACAAAGGTCTCTGAAATGCCTTCAAGTCTTCTCATTGTCTTGTCTATTAGCACTTTGCTCCTCTTTACATATGCAAATTTCCACAGCCTGCTTGAATTCCTTCCCTGAAAATGGACTTTTCTTTTCTACCACATGGTCAGGCTGCAAATTTTCCAAACTTTTATACTCTGCTTCCCTTTTAAATATAAGTTCCAATTTCACATCATTTCTTTACTCACACATCTGAGCATAGGCGATTAGAAGCAGCTAGACTACATCTTGAACACTTTGTTGTTTAAAAATTTCTTCCAGCAGATACCCTAAATCATCACTCTCAAGTTCAAAGTCCCACAGATCCCTAAAGCAGGGGAACAATGCAGCCAACCTCTTTGCTAAAGCATAGCAAAAGTGACCTTTACTCCAGTTCCCAATAAGTTCTTTATTTCCATCTGAGACTTCCTCAGCCTGGACTTCAACATCCATATCACCATCAGCATTTTGGTCACAACAATTTAACAAGTCTCTAGGAAGTTCCAAACTTTCCCTCATCTTCCTGTCTTCTTCTGAGCCCTCCACACTCTTCCAACTGTCAGGCCTCTGAGCCCAGGCTAAGCCATCATATCCCCTGTGACCTGCATGTACACATCCAGATGGCCAGTTTCTGCCTTAACTGATGATATTCCACCACAAAAGAAATGAAAATGGCCTGTTCCTGCCTTAACTGATGACATTATCTTGTGAAATTCCTTCTCCTGGCTCATCTTGGCTCAAAAGCTCCTCTACTGTGCACCTTGTGACCCCCACTCCTGCCCGCCAGAGAACCCCCCTTTGACTGTAATTTTCCTTTACCTACCCAAATCTCATAAAATGGCCCCACCCCTATCTCCCTTTGCTGACTCTCTTTTTGGACTCAGCCCACCTGCACCCAGGTGAAATAAACAGCCTTGTTGCTCACTCAAAGCCTGTTTGGTGGTCTCTTCACATGGATGCGAGTGAAACCAACTTCTGCCCACTACCCAGTTCCAAAGTTCCTTCCACATTTTCAGATATCTTTATAGCAATGCCCCACTTCTCAGTACTAATTTTCTATATTAGTCCATTCTTGCATTGCTATAAAGAAATACCTGAGACTGGGTAATAAAGAAAAGAGGCTTAATTGGCTCATGGTTCTACAGTCTGTACAGGAAGCATGACACTGGCATGTGCTCAACTTTTGGGGAACGCTCAGGAAACTTACAGTCATGGTGAAAGGTAAAGGAGAGCACACACCACATGGTTGGAGTAGGAGCATGAGAGAGAGGGGAGGGGAGGTGCCTTACACTTCAAAACAACCAGATCTCCTGATAATTCACTCACTATATAGCACCAAGGGGGGGATAGCGCTAAACCATTCATGAGAACCCTGTCTTCATGACCCAATCACCTTCCACAAGTCCTTACCATTATAAATAAAGTTTTGGTGCCACAAAAGAAATAGCACTCGAATATAAAATTTTCTTTTTAATTCTCAGCAAGGCAAGTTACTTCTATAGAAGGGTCCAACCTTACAGATGGAGCAATGGTGAGCACACACTTGGACAAGGGAGGGGAAGGGGTTCTTATCCCTGACACATGTGGCCCCTGCTGCTGTGTCGTTCCCCTATTGGCTAGGGTTAGACCGCACAGGCTAAGCTAATTCCAATTGGCTAATTTAAAGAGAGTGATGGGGTGAGTGGTTTGGCAGGAAAAATGGTTATGACAGAGCAGGTAATCGGAATGAGTCAGGGTGGAGTAGGTAATTGAAAAAGGTTGCTTTACAAGGAAGTTAAGTTTAAAAGTAGAAGGTAAAGAATCGAACATACTGACATGTTGATTCTTTGAAAAGAAATTTAGAACTCATATCTAACATTACCTTCAGCACTGAGGATTACATTTCAACATGAGATTTGGGCAGAGACACAGATTCAAACTATACCAGTGCTATTTTCCAATTTACAGCAAGTAACCATAAACCAGATTTGCACCTACTAAAGTCTAGGTACCTTTATGAGAGCAATAATTACACAATTAATTATTTTATATCTTCCCTATTAAGTTATTTAAGGTTTCTTAGCACTCAACACATCACTAGCTTGTAGTAGAGGCTCAAAATCTTATTGAAACAACAGTTTATTAAAGAACTTTGGGTGACTTGGTGTGATTACCGTCCAGAACTATAAATGGTGGAATAGCTGCAAAAGAGGCCAGAAAAGTAAAATGAGGCAGTTTACAGAATAATTTATGATTTGATAAAAGGTTATTATTTTATTCCATAGGTGATGAGGAGTCCTCAGAAGGTTTTGAGTTGATGTAGATATAGATTTCAATTTGAAAATATTTCCCAACATTAGTGAGAAAGATGAGTTAGAGATGAAAACCTAGAGACAGAGATGACACAGGCTACTCTGTACTAATATTACTACTATTGCAGTAGTCTAAATGATAACTGTCAAGGATTCAACTTAAGATAATGTAAAAGAATGGGAATTAATAGATATAAGAGAAATATACAGAGAAGAGTTCATAAGATTTGGTGGACAATTAAGTGGAAGAGATGATGGAGATGAGCTTATGAGTTATTTCAACACACATTAATTTGTTATATCATTCTTTGTTTAATGAATGAATATAATATTTACTGAGTTAGCACAATGACAGCAAAATACAGAGTAAAAAGTCTTATTTTTGGCTCAACTATAGATAGTGGTGCCTTATACTTTAAAACAACCAGTTGTAAACTGTTTCAACAAGTTATGAAACATGACAATAATAATATGCATTTGTGTGCTTATGTCAAGCATCCAATTACTTGATTGTATTATCTCATTTAATACTAATAATTATAATATGAGAAAGTTAATATTATACCATATTATAGATGAAGATACTATGTCACAGCAGTAAGTAATCTGCTCAAGATCATACAATAAGTAATAGAAACAGATTTTGAGTTCACATTCTGACTCAAGACCCCAAACTCAGATTCACCATACCATACCACCTTTTGAGTAATCAGCTGCTAATTATGTTAGAGGACACTAGAGTAGAATTTATATTAGGGACATTTAACACTTAAGTTAAAAAGGAAGGAGGATTTCTGGTTCTCAAAAGTGACAGCTGAGCCAGTGTTACAGACTTGAAAAGCTGCATTTTTAAAACTACGCTAGGTTGAGAATAAAAGAAAACTTAATATTCATTTGTAAGATCTTTATAATATGTTTCATATAATTGAAGAAGTAGTTGATATTTGAAAGAATGGAAGCAGAATTTTAGCACCAGCATTTCCTGATCTTAAGAACACTGTTACTTGCTGAGGACAGTGGCTTAGACCTGTAGTCCCAGTGCTTTGGGAGGGTGAGGTGAGAAGATCACTTGAGACAAGAATTTGAGACAAGCCTGTGCAACACAGCAAGGTCCTGTCTACACACACACACACACACACACACACACACACACACACACACACACACACAATTAAATTAGCTGGGCATGCTGGCTCATGTCTGTAGTCCTAGCTCCTTGAGAGACTGAGGAAGGAGGATTGCTTTAGCCCAGAAGTTTGAGTCTGCAGTGAGCTATAATCGTGTCACTCCATCTCTGCATTCAGCCTGGGCAACAGAGCAAGATGCTGTATCAAAAGAAAAAAAAAAACAAAACATAACTGCCAGCATTAACAATTCCCCATCCGCTTGTCTTCCTATTACAAGTTTTTTTGTTTTGTTTTGTTTTTGTTTTTTGGTAAGTGGGGCAAGAGATTAAACTGGCTCAGCTTAGTTCAAAGTCCACTCCAATATCTGGCTTGATTCAGTCAATTATGGCAAAAAGAGTCTTTGCGGTTGGGGCAAGTAAGAGATTTACATGGTATTAATACATATTGGAAAAAGGTTATGAGAATGAAATGCACACACTGCATTATATATGGATGTTTTCTAAAATAAAACATCAAAAATTCACTTATATGTCCACCAATGTAGGAAGATTAATTTTCAGTTGCTCATCTTAACCTCTATCCAGATTGTTTTTATATCATTTGGTTATAATATGTCTCAAGAAAAATACTGTAAACTTACTATTAATTTTAAAACAATCAATTTTTTTTCAAACCATGACTATTTTTTATGTTGGTCATTTTATAGACTGGGCAATAGTTGGGTATATTTCAAAGTATTTTAACTTATTACATAAGAATGTGCTTTTAATGACCATAACAGCAAAGAAAAATGTTACCTTTATTTACACTAGAATAATTATTTTCTTTAAGAAAGTATTTACCAACTCAGTAAAAAATTACTTCTGTATTTATTAAAAACAAACAACAGAAAAGGAAGTGTGTATTCACACTAAACTCCCTTTTCTTCTTTAACCTTTCATGTGCTGGAGAATGCTCTTCTGTTATGGTGCTGTTCAGCACCTTTAGAGCAGAAACTTGTTTAGGTGTCTTTTTTTTCCTGCATTAATGGGAGCTTGTAAATATCTTTTACATGAAGTATCCTCAAGGAAGAGAAAGCACGGTGAAGGAGTTGTCCTCAAGAGTCACTATCGATATTGTCTAAGTGGTCTGAAAATTCTAACTTTGAAGTTTCTCTATGATCCAAACACAATCTAAGTGAAATGATTTCCAGTTAAGTCATCAGAAGTTTGCCTATTGGTATGTTTGTTCATTCATGTGTTATTTATTTGCTTTATATTCCTTTCAATTTCTACTTTAAAATGTTTTGTAACTTTACTAGTGGCTATGAATGTAATTAATTTTTGGAAATCAATTTTATATTAGGTATATTTTCAGTCTCTAGAGGAAAAATGCTATTTTTTAAATATAAGTTTATTTATCACAGTCAGTTGTTTTAAGCTGGTTATCTTTATCTCTATAAATTCTGTAAAATCTGATTGTAATTTCATACATTTCTCCTTAATAAAATCTTCTCTAATATTAACCTTTATTTCATTGAATAAAGTAAATCCCATTGAATCTAACTTTTTAGATTATTCTTTTTAATCAGTAAAAATACTATCTTTTTTTCTTTTTCAACTTTTATTTTAGATACAGGGGTTACATATGTGGGTTTGTTACATGGATATATTACAGCAGGTACTACGCATAGTAACCAATATGTAGTTTTCCAACCCACATTCACCTTCCTCCCTCCTCCCTCTAGTAACCCACAGGGTTTATTGTCCCCATGTTTATGTTCATGTGAGCTCAAGATTTAGCTCCCAATTTTAAGGGAGGTATTTGATTTTCTGTTTCTGCCTTAATTTGCTTAAGATTATGGCCTACAGTTCCATCCATGTTACTGCAAAGAGCATTATTTCTTTTTTCTGGCTGCATAGTATTTCATGGTGTATATGTACCACATTTGCTTTATCTAATCCACCAAATTGATGGACACCTAGGTTGATTTTATGTTTTTGCTATTATGAATAGAATGGCAATGAACATACATGTGCACATGTCTTTTTGGTATAATGATCTATTTTCCTTTTGGTATATACTCAGTAATAGAATTGTTGGGTTCAATAGTAGCTCTGTTATAAGTTCTTTAAGAAATCTCCATAATGTTTTGTACAGTTGTTAAACTAATTTACATTCTCACCAAGAGTGTGTAAGCATTCCCTTTTCTCTGCAGCCTTATCATCACCCCTTGATTTTTTTTTTTTTTTAACTTTTTAATAATGGCCATGCTGACTGGTGTGAAGTGGTATCTCATTGTTGTTTTGATTTGCATTTCTCTGATGATTAGTGATGAGCACTTTTCCATTATGTTTGTTGGCCTCTTGTATGTCTTATTTTGAGAAGTGTTTGTTCATACACTTTGCCCATTTTTTAATGAGGTTATTTGTCTTTTGCTTGTTGATTTAAGTTCCTTATATATTCTGGATATTAGACATTGACAGATGCATTGTTTGCAAATATTTTCTTTTATCCTGTAGGGTGTCTGTTTACTCTATTTATAGTTGCTTTTGCTGTGCATAAAGCTCCTTAGTTTAATTAGGTCCAATTTGTCCATTTTTGTTTTTGTTGCAGTTGATTTTGGGAACTTGGCCAAAAAATCTTTGTGAAGGCTGATGCCAAGAAGGGTATTTCCTAGGTTTGTTTTTAGGATTTTTATAGTTTGAGATGTTAAATTTAAATCTTTACCTTGATTTGATTTTTGTATATGGTAAGAGATAGGGGCCCAGCTTCATTGTTCTGCATATGACTATCCAATTTTCCCAGCACCATTCATTGAATATAGTGTCCTATCTCCAGTGTCTATTTTTGTCAAGTTTATTAAAGACCAGTTGGTTGTAGGTTATGTGGCTTTATTTCCGGGTTCTCTATTCTGTTCCACTGACCTATGTGTCTGCTTTTGTACCAGTACTATGCTGTTTTAATTACTATACTCTTGAAATATAGTGTGAG
Source organism: Homo sapiens (assembly GCF_000001405.40). Taxonomy (NCBI): domain Eukaryota; kingdom Metazoa; phylum Chordata; class Mammalia; order Primates; family Hominidae; genus Homo; species Homo sapiens. The sequence goes on from NC_000011.10 coordinate 6,807,681, forward strand.
GTAAAGCGATGTGATGATGTCTTCAGCTTTGTTCTTTTTGCTTGGGTTTGCTTTAGCTAGTTGGACCCTTTTTTTAATTCCATATGAATTTTAGGATTTTTAAAATTCTGTGAAACATAATGTTAGTAACTTGATAGAAATCAAATTGAATCTGTATATTGCTTTGGGCAGTATGTTCATTTTTTAAATATTGATTCTTCTAATCCATGAGCTGGGATGTTTTTCCATTTGTTTGTGTCATTTATTATTTTTTTCATCAGTGTTTCATCATTCTACTTCTAGAGATCTTTCACTTTCTTGGTTCAATGTATTTCTAGGTATTGTGTGTGTGTGTGTGTGTTTGTGTGTGGGTGTGTGTGTGCATGTGTGTCTATCATAAATGAGACTGAGTTTTTGATTTGGTTCTCAGCTTGAACATTATATAAAAATGCTACTATTTTTTGTATGTTGATTTTGTGTGTCTAGAAACATTACTGAAGTCATTTATCAAGTCTAGTCTTTTGGAGGAGCCTTTAGGCTTTTCTAGGTATAAGATCATGTCATCAGCAAACAGATAATTTGATTTTTTCTTTTCCAATTTAGAGGTCTTTTTCTTTCTTTCTTTTGCCTAACTTCTCTGGCTAGGACTTTAAGTACTATTTTGAATAAGAGTGGTGAGAGTGGGCATCCTTGTCTTGTTCCAGTTCTTAGAGAGAATGCTTTCAACTTTTCCTCATTTAGTATGATGTTGGCTCTGAGTTTGTTATATATGGCATTTATTATTTTAAGGTATCTTCCTTCTATGCCTAGTTTCTCAAGAGTTTTTGTCTGTGGATTTTATTGAATGCTTTTTCTGCATCTATTGAGATGGTCATATGCTTTTTGTTTTTCATTCTGTTTATGTGGTGAATCACATTTATTGATTTGTGTATGTTGAACCATGCTTGCAACCCAGGAATAAAACCCACTTGATTATGATGCATTATCTTTTTGACATACTGTTGAATTCAGTTTGCTGGTATTTTGTTGTGGATTTTAGCACCTATGTTCATCATGGATATTGGCCTGTAGTTTTCTTTTTTTATTGCATGCTTGCATGATTTTGGTATCAGGGTGATACTGGTTTTGTAGAATGAGTTAGGGAGGAATTCCTCCTCATCTTTTTGGAATAGTTTTAATAACATTGGTACCAGCTCTTCTTTGTAACTCTGATAAAATTCAGTTGTTAATCCATCTGGTCCTGGGCTTTTTTTGAGAGATTTTAAATTACTGATTCAATTTCATTACTCATCATTGGACTTTCAGGATTTCTATTTCTTCCTGGTTAAATCTTGGGAGATTTTATGCTTTCAGGAATTTATCCATTCCTTCAAAGTTTTCTAGGTTGTGTCTATAAATATGCTCATAGTAGTCTCTGATAATCTTTTGTTTTTCCATGGTATCTGTTGTAATGTCACTTTATTATTTCTGATTGTGCTTATTTGAATCTTCTCTCTTTATTGATTACTCTAGATAGTGGTTTATCATTTTGTTTATCTTTTCAGAAATTCAACTTCTCATTCCATTGATTCTTCTTCTCATTATTTTTTTTTTAGTTGCAACCTCATTTAGTTTTGCTCTGGATCTTTGTTATTTCTTCTTCTGCTCGCTTTGGGTTTGGTTTGTTCTTGCTTTTATAGGTTTTTGAGGAGTGAAATTAGGTTGTTAATTTGAGATCTTTCTATCTTTTTGATGCAGGTATTTAATGCTATAAACTTTCCTCTTAACACCACTTTTGCTATATCCCAGAGGTTTTGGTATGTCATCACTTTATTTTAATTCATTTCAAAAAATTGTTTATTTCTGCCTTTGTTTTGTTGTTTACCCAAAGGCCATTCAAGAGCAAGTTGTTTGGTTTTCATATATTTGTGTCATTTTGAGAGTTCCTCTTGGTATCAATTTTTAATTTTATTCCACGGTGGTATGACAGGATAGTTGTGAATATTTTGAATTTATTCATTACGGCCAAGCATATGGCCTATTGTGGAGAATGTTCCATGTACAGATGAGAAAAATATATATCCTGCAGTTCTGGGGTTGAATGTTCTGTAAATGTGTTAAGTTTATTTGGTCTAGAGTGCAGTAAGTACACAGTTTCTTTGTTGATTTTCTACCTCAGTGATATGTCTAGGGCTGTTGGTGGGATGTTGAATTCCCTCACTGTTATTGTATTGCTACCAATTCCTTTTCATAGGTTTCATAGTATTTGTTTTATGAATCTAGGTGCTCTGGTGTTGTGTGCATATATATTTAGAATTGTGATATCTTCTTGTGGAATCAAACAATTTATCATTATATAATGACCTTGTTTGTCTTTCTTTCTTTTTTTTTTCTTTCTTTCTTTTTTTGAGACAGAGTCTCGCTCTGTCACCCAGGCTGGAGGGAGTGCAGTGGCGTGATCTGGGCTCACTGCAATCTCTGCCTCCTGGGCTCAAGCAATTCTCTGCCTCAGCCTCCCGAGTAGCTTGGATTACAGGCACCTGCCACCACGCCCAGCTAATTTTTGTATTTTTAGTAGAGACGGGGTTTTACCATCTTGGCCAGGCTGGTCTTGAACTCCTGACCTTGTGATCCACCTGCCTCGGCCTCCCAAAGTGCTGGGATTATAGGTGTGAGCCACTGTGCCCAGCCATTTGTCTTTTTTTTTTTAACTGTTGTTTCTTCAAGGTATGTTTTATCTGATGTAAGTACAGCTACTCATGCTTGTTTTTGTTTTCTTTTTTCATAGTAGAATTTCAAAGTAGAATTTCCAAGTGCATATTTAGAGTGCTTTGAAGTCTATGGAAGAAAACGAAATATCTTCATATAAAAACTAGACAGAATCATTCTCAGAAACCACTTTGTGATGTGTGCGTTCAACTCACAGAGTTTAACCTTTCCTTAGATACAGCAGTTTTGAAGGACTCTTTTTGTACAGCTCTTTACTTTGAACATATGGGTATTTTTATCTGTTAGTTGGGTCTTTTGTAGGCAGCAGATAGTTGGGACTTGTTTTTGTATCCAGTTTGCCAGTCTATATATTTTAAGTGGAGCATTTAGGCCATTTACATTTAAGGTTAATATTGATATGTGAGGTTTTGTTCTTGTCATAATGATGTTACCTAGTTTCTTTGTAGTCTCAATTGTGTAATTGCATTATAGGATCTGTGAGCTTTATACTGATGAGTGTTTTTATGATGGCAAGTATTGTCCTTTTGTTTCCATGTGAGAACTCTTTTGAGCATTTCTCATATGGCCAGTGTAACGGTGATAAATTTCCTTAGGGTTTGATGGTCTATAACTTTATTTCTCCTTCATTTATAAAGCTTACTTTAAGCTTTATTGAAAAACTCTTAAAGAATTTTTTTTCCTTAAGAAAGATAATAGGTCCTCAACCTCTTCAGGCTTGTAAGGTTTCTGCTGAGAAATCTTCTGTTAGTCTGACGGAATTTCCTTTTTAAGTGATTACACACTTCTCTCTAGATTATATATATATATATATATATATATATATATATATATATATATTTTTTTTTTTTTTTTTTTTTTTTTTAATGAGACGGAGTCTCGCTCTGTCATCCAGGCTGGAGTGCAGTGGCGCGATTTCGGCTCACTGCAAGCTCCGCCTCCCGGATTCACGCCATTCTCCTGCCTCAGCCTCCCCAGTAGCTGGGACTACAGGCGCCCGCCATCACGCCTGGCTAATTTTTTTTTGTATTTTTAGTAGAGATGGGGTTTCACCGTGTTAGCCAGGATGGTCTCGATCTCCTGACCTCGTGATCCGCCGCCTCGGCCTCCCAAAATGCTGGGATTACAGTTATGAGCCATCGCGCCCGGCCTCTCTAGCTATCTTTAGAATTTTTTCCTTCATGTTGACTTTGGACAGTCTGATGACAATATACTTTGATAAGATTTATCTTGCAAAGAATCTTCCAGATGTTCTTTGAACCTGTTGTATCTGGATGTCTAATTTCTATCTAGACCAAAAATATTTTCCTGAATGATTTTATCAAATACATTTTCCAAGGTTTTTACTTTTTATTATTATCCCTGAGTAATGGCTATTGCTCATAGATTTCGTTGCTTTATATAATTTCATATTTCCTGGCTGCATTTTTAAAAAATTCTCCTTTGTTTTCTTTTTTATATATAACTGGGTCAATTCAAAGGACCAGTCCTCAAGCTCTGAAATTCCTTCTTCTACTTTGTTTAGTATGTTGTTAAATAGTTCATCTATATTTTATAATTCCTTCAATGAACATTTCATTTCCAGAAGTTCTGTTTGGTTTTCTTTTAAATACTTACCTCTTTAGTAAATTATTCTTCCATACTCTGAATTGTTTTTCTGATTTCCTTGTGTTGCTTTCTGACTTTCTCATAGATCTCATTAAGCTTCCTAAAATCCATGTTTTGAATCCTTTTTTTAGTCCTTTCAAAATTTTCATTTTGTTTAGGATGCATTGCTAGAGAGCTAGTGTAATGCTTTGGGGGTGTCAAAAAACTCTTTTTGTCCTGCCAGAGTTCTTACACTGATTCCTTCTCATCTAGAGAAGTTATGACCTCTGATTTTTGAACTTTATTCCATTTGAATGGTGCTTTTAACTTTTTTATTCTTTTCTCCCTTGAGGGTATGACTGTAACATATATTCTGTATGATACTTTGGCTTTGTTTCTCAGTGCTTTCAGGGGGCCAAGGCTATGTATGAACTCCTTAGTTATAGATAGCTTTTGTGCAGTGGCTTTCTCAAATGTTGATTGTTTTAGTGATATATTGGGTATATGAGCTGACTCATTATCTTCTGTGGTGCTGGGAGTGGGGAGGTCTCAGGGAGCTTTTCCCATACCCTAGAACTATGCCCTTCTGTCAGCAGGTTTATTTGGTGGTGCAGTTCAGTCTATAGTCCAGTAGATGGCGATAAGGAGTAAGAGCGGGCTCATCTCTGATGACAAATGGAAGCACCTGCTTTGACAGAGGCGGTGGAAGGAGCTCATGGTGGGATGGGCTGATGTCTTCAACGTGAGGGGTGCCACGGTGGGACCTCACCACCTCCTTATCCTGGGCAGCCAGGAACACAACCTACATGTCTATTACATCCCTGTCACCAGGCTTGCTACTTTCAGTTCAGATAGACACTGACCCTTTTCTCCAGGTCTCAATGAAACTAGGGCCCGTGGAAAATGCCCATCTGCAGGTACCACTGAGATAGCCTTGAGGCTGAACCTCTTTTTCTGGTTTAAGACAGGTAACTCTGTGGCTGGTCTGCATTCCATTGCAGGAACACAGCAGCTCTGTGTAGGGAGGGGGAGATGTGCTCCACCTTTATGCAATTCCAGGAGGCAGGTACACTTTCAGTGGGGGTGTAACCACCTGGAATCATGCTGGAAAGCCTCACTCTAAGTGCACTTATGCCAATTCACAGTGGGAAAAACCTTGGCTCTGTCCACAACAGTAGACTGGGGGAGTGGGAGAAGATTCCCCTCATCCATTTCCAGCCACTGGTGTTGCCTGTCTGCTTGGGCAGAACAACACTTTTCCCCTTCAGAGACAACCACTGCACCCATCACTCTTCTGGGAGGGGCACAGTCACCCACTGGACACAAGTAGGGGGCTCTCAGGCAGGAGAGAGCTTTCTATTTGGTTTCCTTTGTTCTAAAGGGTGTTTTGGTGGGCTGCACTGTGCCTTCTCCCAGCAGCAGCCCATGCTGTGAACTGGATATCCAAGGATCTTGCAACTCCCAAGGATCCCACTGTTCCCCTGTGTTCGCTGCACTTAGAGCAGCATCTGGAAAATGTTTGTTGGGGATCTAGTGGTATGAAGAAACAAAGACTGAAATTCTCTGGGCAGGATAGTAGCCCACAATCAGTGTACAACCAACACGGTGCCTACCATTTCAACTTGGGTTCAAGGGGAGTGTGTGTGAACCTGCACAAACTGGCTACTAAGTGCTGGACCCCCAGGGAGTTTCCAAATTCCTCCTGACCGCAGTGCCTGGGCTTACAAGAGCAGAGAGGCTCTTCAACAATTTGGTCCTCAGCAGCCTGTCACAAGGGTAAGGAGAACAAAGAAACTCCCACCTACACTTTCTGTGGGATTGCAAGTTCCTCAGGAGTCAATCTCTGCCAGAGTCTTGCTGCCTTCCTTTTCTGCACCTGAGCTTCTTCCTGTGGCTTCTCTGACTGGTTTTGCATTCTTCCTCAGCATTCCACTCCAGCCATGATCACTCATCTGTAACTTTGTCTCTTCTTTCTGTAGAGAACTCACATCTGACATCCCTAGTTAGCCATCCACAGTGGATGCCTTTTGTTGGAACACAGATAATTCATAGTCTGTGCCCATTCAAAAAGTTCACCTAGCGTACCTCTTTCCCAGACTTCTTTATCACCAACATTCAAATCCTGTTCTTTCCAAGTCCCTTATCATCCAGCCAAACCACTGCCAACTGCTGATGAATTTGTGTAGGTCCACACTTTTGACCAAAATAACAAACTTCTGAGGCATGAAACAACATGGGTGAAACCTAAAAGCATTATGCTAAGTGAAAGAAGCCAGACACGATAGATTACCTAATGTGTGATTCCATTTACATGCAATTCAAGGAAAGGTAAAATTATAGTGATAGAAAGCAAGTTATTGTTTGCCAGTGTCCAGGGGGCACAGCTAGAGGACTCATTGCAAAAGGGATGAGAGAAATTTTGGGGGTGATAAAAACGTTTTGATTTTGGTCAGGCACGGGGGCTCATGCCTGTAATCCCAGCACTTTGGGAGGCTGAGGTGGGTGGATCACAAGGTCAGGAGTTCGAGACCAGCCTGGCCAACATGGTGAAACCCCATCTCTACTAAAAAAATACAAAAATTAGCCGGGCATTGTAGTGTGTGCCTGTAATCCCAGCTACTCGGGAGGCTGAGTGGGGAGAATTGCCTGAATCTGGGAGGCGGAGGTTGCAGTGAGCCGAGCCACTCGACTCAAGCCTGGGCGACAGAGTAAGACCCTGTCTCAAAAAAAAAGGTTTCGATTTTAAATTATTATTATTATTTGAGATGGACTCTCACTCTGTCACCCAGGCTGGAGTGCAATGGCACGATCTTGGCTCACTGCAACCTCCGCCTCCCAGGTTCAAGTGATTCTCCTGCCTCAGCCTCCTGAGTAGCTGGGATTACAGGGGTGCGCCACCACACCTGGCTAATTTTTTTTTGTATTTTTAGTAGAGGTGGGGTTTCACCATGTTGGTCAGGCTGGTCTCAGACTCCTGACCTCATGATCCACCTGCCTTGGCCTCCCAAAGTGCTGGGATTACAGGCATGAGCCACCGTGCCTGGCTGGTTTTAAATTATTTTTAAAACTAAAATAAAAATTGTATATATTTATGGTATACAACATGATGTCTTGACATATGTATACATTATGAAATGATTAAACCAGACTAATTAACATATCCATCACTTTATATACTTATTATTTTCTTGTGATGAGAACATTTAAAATTTACTTTCAGCAATGTTTAAGTATACAATACATTAATTATATGGTTTGGAAACTTGTCCCCCATAAATTTTATCCCAATATGAAATGTGATCGTCAATGTTGGAGGTGGGGCCTAGTGGGAGGTGTTTAGGTCACTGCTCATAGATGGCATGGTGTCCCTGTGGTAATGAGTAAGTTCTCACTCTGAATTCATGTGAGATCTGGTTCCTCAAAATAGTGCGGCACCTCCCTCCCACCCCACCTCCTGCTCCTACTCTCACTATGTGGTACATTGGCTACCCCTTTTCCTTCGGCCATGACTGTAAGCTTGCTGAGGACCTCGGCAGAAACAGATGCTGGCACTATGTTTCCTGTACAGCCTACAGAACTATAAGCCAAAATAAACATCTTTTCTTTATAAACCACCCAGCCTCAGGTATTTCTTTATAGCAACACTACACAAGGATGGACTAATGCAATTAATATTAGCCATAGTCACTACGGTATACACAATATATCTCCAGACCTTATTTTTGCTGCCTAACTGAAACATTAAGATTTTATATTATGAGTAGGAAGGTCGTTAGATACTGTATATTTTAAATTAGTAAATTTTATTGCATGCAAATATTTCTAAAAAAGCAATTAAAAAGAGAAAGCACACTTAGCTCAATTTTCTATGGTGTGAATTGTGTCCTTCACTTATGATACTTTTCTACCTAATGTAGAATGGTTTACTGACTCAGTAATGGTTTGCTAACTCACAAATACCTGTATGAGTCTACTTTTGTATTTAGCATGTAATACAAGAATGCGGGCTGGGCGCGGTGGCTCACGCCTGTAATCCCAGCACTTTGGGAGGCCGAGGCGGGTGGATCACGAGGTCAGGAGATCGAGACCATCCTGGCTAACATGGTGAAACCCCGTCTCTACTAAAAAATACAAAAAATTAGCCAGGCATGGTGGCGGGCGCCTGTAGTCCCAGCTACTTGGGAGGCTGAGGCAGGAGAATGGCGTGAACCCGGGAGGCGGAGCTTGCAGTGAGCCGAAATCGCACCACTGCACTCCAGCCTGGGTGACAGTGTCAGACTCCGTCTCAAAAAAAAAAAAAAAAAAAAATGCATGCAGAAATGTAAGAATCTGAGATCTTGACAAACTTCACTGTCAATATGTTTGCTCTCCTGAACCATTTATTGCCTAAGTTAAGATTTATGTATGATTGTAAATTAATTTCTTTTCCTCATCTCCAATTATAAACAATCACCTGTTTATTACATCTCCTTGGCAAAATAATACATAATATTGAGTCATAATGATGTCCAGTATTCCAACTGCTTTAAATGAATTGACTCATTTATTCCTCAAGATTATCCTATAGATAGATTATATTACTATCTCCATTTTTCAATGAGGATACTAAGGTACAGTGAGGATAAATAATTTGCCTCAAGGCACACATCTAGAAGACAGCAGAGCTGGAACTTAATCCATGCAGTCTAGCTTCAGGTTCTACAGCCTAGTCTTCTGATGTAATGCACCTCTCATATCTTCACTTCTCTTCACAATTGCAATATTACTCACGTAGTTTAGCCTCCATCTTTGATCTTGCCTGTGTATAACTCAAGATACACACTGCTGCAAAAGTGATTTCTTAGTGATATAAGCAAAAAAAAAAAACCTTCAAAAATCTTCTCCTCTCTAAAAGCAATAAAAATAGTGCAAAAAATTGTCAAAACAACATTTTCAGAACTATACAAATGAACTAAAGGCTTACAACTATGCAAGGAGCATTTATTCAATAAAATAAACTGAAAAAAACAGTAAGCTTTGCATCATTTCAAACTGGTCTATTCCCCTCCCTCTCTCTCCAGTTCTACAGTAGCCTTGAAAACCAACAACCCTGCAGCATGGTAAAACCAGCAACCTCTTGATTTCAAATTTTAAAGCCCTCCATCAAAATGGGTCAGCAGAACAAGCCTTAAGCAGAGATGACATCTCAGAGATAAATCACTGCTGCTCTGGACCACGTCTACTCCTATGTACCTGCAGGACAGCAGAGACTTGAGCTGCAAAGGTGGCTGCTAGCCAAGATGAGTTTATGTGGAAATTGAATCAGTAATAAAAAAATCTTTCATCAAAAAAATTTTAGGACCTGATGGCATTACTGCTGAATTCCACCAAATGTTTACAAAAAGCACTTACACCAATCCTTCTCCAACTCTTTAAAAAGAATCAAATAGGAGGAAGGATTTCCCAAACTCTTTATATAAGGCCAGCATTACTCTAACACCAAAGCTATAAAAGGACACTACAACAAGAGAAAATTCCAGGCCACTATCCTTGATAAACATACATGCAAACTTCCTCAGCAAAATACTAGCAAACTCAATTAAACAATGCCTTAATAGGATCATCCACCATGATGGAGTGAGATTTATCTTTGAGATGTAAGAATAATTTAACATACATAGATCAATAAATGTGACATACTACATTAACAGAATGAAGAATAAAAATATGATCATCAGATGCAGAAAAAGCATTTGACAATATTCAACACCCTTTCATAATAAAAATTCTCATCAAATTAGGTATAGAAGGAACATAGCTCAATACAATAAAGGCCCTACTGATGGCAGCAGCGGCCTGTCTGAAGCAGCTGCTGCAAAGATGCCAGAAGCAGCAGGGGAGGCATGGCAGAAGGCTGCAGGCTCTAAGGAGCCAGCAGGAGCCAGGAACAGGCAGGAGCCCCACCCACTTCCAAGCTGACCAGGTGGAAGCCCTACCCTCCCAGTCACAGTTGCAGCCACCTAACTGCAGCTGCAGACCTGGGCATCCCTGCACTCTTGGGGGCCCAGGAAGCCCCCTGCCCTGCAGGCTTGGAAGTGCATGCTCCTGCTGCCTGGCCTCTCCCTGCTCACAGGCAGAGCAAAGCTGTGGCTGAGCCTGGGTGCTGTTGCAACCTGGCCAGTTGTTCACACAATTGGGGCAGTGCTGACATGCCAGCCTCCTGTCACCTCGGCCTCCTCTGAACTTTGGGCACCAATGAGCATGGGAGGGGGACTGAGGTAGGCCTGAGGGCAGCTTGGCGCAGGCCTGCAGGCCCCTTTGGCACAAACAGCCTGGGTGCCATGGACATTATTGATGGCAACAGGAGGCAGACAGGCTCCTGGGTGGAAAGGGGCACATTCCTGGTGAAGCCCCACCTTCAAGCCAGTGACAGCCTGAAGCATGGGGGCTGGGCTGTCAGTTTCAGGTGGAGTCCACAGACCACAGTGAGAACTTGTGGTACTTTTTCTGGGCCCACTCATGGCCACGGACTTATCAGCATGCACTTCCTCCCTCTGAGGCCATAAAATCCCCAGACTCAACCAGACTCATTGGGACAATCTGTCTGCGGATAGGAGCTACTCACTCTGGGTCTCCTCTCTGCTAAGGGCTGCATAGACATCAGTATGACCTGCCTGTAGATAGGGGCTACCCACTCCAGGTCTCCTCTGCTGACGACTACACACACATTGGAATGACCTGTCTGTGGATAGGAGCTACCCACTCTGGGTCTCCTGAGAGGTGTTCTGTTGCTCAATAAAGCTCCTCTCTACCTTGCTCACCCTCAAATTGTCCACATACTTCATTCTTCCTGGACTCAGGACAAGAACTTGGGACCCCCCAAATGGCGGGACTAAAAGAGCTGTAACACAAACGGTGCTGCTGAAACATGCCCCACCCAAGCTCACCACATTGCAGGCAATGAGGAGAAAAGAGCTGCAGCCCTTCAGGGAACCTGGATTTAGGGGCTCCAGAGTCAGGGCTGTGACGCTCTCTTTGGGGCTCTGCAGCTCCTGGCATCTCCAAGCTTCTGGGTGCCACTGTGTACCCCTTGTCTGGATGCAGGTGCCTGCAGCAGAAGCTGTATGCAGTACATCTGGTCCAGACACAGCCTCACATGGAGTCGGCACCTGTGCTAGTGCCTGGAGCTGCCTGCCCTGCCACAGCAATCAGCGTGCCTGGCTGTGCACAGTGGCTGGACCCCATGCTCACTCACCCACACACCCCTCGCCACTCTGCACCTGGCTTGCCCTTGACAGGTGTGGCATCCAGCCTGGTAGCATGAGCTGAGCACAGCCAGCCAGGCGAGTGGGCAGAATGAGCCCAGCAGACATGAGCAATACTCATGCGGAAGGTGCTGCCAGTCACAGAGGTTTCTGGCTGGCAAAACAACATCCCAAGGATCCTGTGACAATACATATACAACAAACCCACAAATAACATTATACTAAATAATGAAACATTGTAAGCCTTTCCTCTAAGATGTGGAACAAGATAAGAATGCCCTCTCTTACCCTTACTATTCAACATAGTATTGGAAGCCCTTGGTAGGGCAATGAGGCAAGTGAAAAAAGGGCATCCAAATAAGAAAAGAGTAAGTGAAATTGATACTGTTTGCTAATGACATGATCTTATATATAGAAAGCCCTAAATTACTCACCAAAAAAACCTGTTAGAACGAATAAATACAGTAAAGTAACAGGATACAAAATTAACATGAGAAAAAAAATTAATAGCATTTCTATACTCTAACAATGAACTATCCAAAAAAGAAATCAAGAACCAATAGCTACATGAAAATATAAACTACTTAGGAATAAATTTTACCAAGGAGGTTACTATGGTTTGGTAGCTTGTCCCCCAAACCTTATGGTGAAATTTAATCCCAATGTTGTAGGTGAGGCCTAATAAAAGATGTTTGGCTCATGATGGTGGATTCCTCATTATTAATTAATGTTTTGCCTCAGAGGTGAGTGAGTTCTCACTCTTTTAGCTGATTATTAAGAAGAGCCTGATGTCTCCCACTTCTCTCTTGTTTCCTCTCATGTCATCTTATTTCTGCACATGCGGGCTCCCCTTTGCTTCCACCATGAGTAAAAGCAGCAATCCCAGTCAAAATTCCAATGTCACTTTTCAGAGAAAAAAAATCCTAAAATTTATATAGAACCACATAAAATCTCAAATAGTCAAAGCAATCATGAGCAAAATAAAAAGCTAGAGGCATTCCACTGATTTCAAACTACACTACAAAGCTAAGTAGTTAAAACAGCATGGCACTGGCATAAAAATAGACACATTGATTAACAGAACAGATTGAGAGCCCGGAAATGAACCCATGCAGGTAGAGTCAATTGATTCTTGACAAAGGTAGCAAGAATACACAATGGGAAAAGGATAATCTCCTCAGTAAATGATGTTGGGATAAATAATCTGCATGCAGAAGAGTGAAATTGGATATTTATCTCACACCATATACAAAAATCAACTCAAAATGAATGAGACTTAAATGTAATACCAGAAATTGGAGAAGAAAACATAGGGGGAAAGCTATACAACATTGGTCTGGACAATGGTATTTTAGATTTGACCTCAAAAATAGCACAGGCAACAAAAGTAAAAATAGATAAGTGGGATAACATCAAACTAAAAAGCTCCCACAGAGCAAAGAAAACAATTAACAGTGTGAAAAGACAACATATGATTAGGAGAAAATGTTTGTAAGTTACACATCTGATTGGGGCTAATATCTAAAATAAGAAGGATCTCAAATTTTAAAATGAGTGAAGTGCCTGAACAGACAGTTCTCATAAGCAGGCAAAGGAATGGCTGGTATACATATGAAAAATGTACAACATTGCTAATAGTGAGAGAGATGTACATTAAAACCATAATGAAATATCATCTCACACCCATAAGAATGTTTAGTATATAAAAAAACAAAAGATAACAAGTGTTGGTGAAAATGTGGGAGAAAAGGGAATTCTTGCATACTGTTGCTGGGAATGTAAATTAGTACAGCCATTATGAAAAATTTTATGGAGGTTTCTCAAAAAACTAAGAATAGACTTACCGTATGATCTACTTCTGGGTATTTAGCCAATAGATTTGAAATCAGTTTGTTAAGAGATGACTGCACTCCCATGTTAATGGCAGCCCTTTTCACAGTAGCCAAGTTATGAAATCAACTGAAGTGTCTATCAACAGATGCATGGATAAAGAAAATTTTGTATACACTCGTGTGCTGTGTAACAATATTTCAGTTAATGTGGAACGTGTATATAACAGTGGTCCTATAAGATTATAATGTTGAATTTTTACTGCACCTTTTCTGTATTTAGATATGGTTAGATAAATAAATATTTACCATTGTGTTATAATTGCCTACACTATTCAGTACAATAGCATGCTGGTACAGGTTTGTAGCCTAGGAGCAATACCATAGCCCTGTAGTAGGCTATACCATCTAGGTTTATGTAAATATACTCTATGATGTTCACACAACAACAAAATTGCCTAACAATGCATTTCTTAGAATGTATCCTAAGACACATTGTTAGACAATGTGTGATTGTATATACAAAATGAAATACTACTCAGCCTTTAAAAAGAAAGAAATTCTGTCATTTGTGACATATAGATGGAATTAGAGAACATTATGTTAAATGAAATAATCCATGTACAGAAAGGCAAATACTACAGGTTCTCACTTATATGTGGAATCTAAAACAATCAAATTCCTAGAAGCAGTGAGTAGAATGGTGGTTACAGAGGCTGGGGAGGGGAGAATGAGGAGATGATGATCAAAGCATACAAGGTCTCAAGAGAAAAAAGAGGTTATTTTTGAGATCTATTGCACAGTGTGGTGAATACAGTTAAAATGGTATATTGTACATTTCACAGTTGCTAAGAGAGTACATTTCAAATGTTCTAATCACAAAAAATGATAAGTATTTGAGGTGATGGATATGCTAATTCACTCGATTTAATTATTCTATATTGTAATAAATTATAACATCAGTTTGTACCCCAGGAATATATACAACTATGAAAGGTCATTTTACACCAACATTTTAAAAATTAAAAGGAAATATTTCAAATAAATATCCTAAGATTCCATCTTCAGAAATTAGAAATAGAACAGCAAACTGAACACAGAGTGAGCAGAAGGAATAAACTAATAAACATTTTTATATAATGATTTTTAAAATCACAGCAAAAATTAATTAAATATAGAATAGAAAATAATAGAGAAAATGTAATCAAAAGTTGGTTCTTGGAAAACACTCACAAAATTGACCAACTATTAGCTACAATGATCAAGCCAAAAAGAAAAAAAGATTCAAATTACTAAAATCAGAAATGAAAGGGGCGGGGGACATTATAACCAACTTTACCAAAATGAAACGGATTATAAGGGATGCTATGGACAACTGCATGTCAACAAACTAGAGAACCTAGATAAAATGCAAATTTCCTAAAAGACACAAAACCAAACTGACTAAAAAGAAATAAAATCTCAATAGACCTGTAACAACTAAAGTGGTAGAATTAATAATAAAAAATCCTCCCACAAACAAAAGCCCAGGGCTAGATGGCTTCACTAGTGAATTCTAACATACTTTTAAGATGAATTAACACCAATTTTTTATAAACTGTTCCAAAAAATTAAAGAGAGAACACTTCCCAATTCACTCTGTGAGGCTAATATTATCCTGATTCCAAAACAGAAAAAAACCTATTTGAAATTTTGTGAATAAGAATGAAACAGGTAAAATTAGTTGTATAGGTAAAAGAGGTCAGATAAATGAGAATTTTTTGGACCATCTTATAGATTTTAGATCTTAGTCTAATGAAATGGACAGTTATGAAGCATTTTGAGCAAAGAGTGGTATTTTTAAAGATAAATATGTCTACTGGGTAGATAATTTATTGCAAGTGGCAAGAGTATAAAGAGATTAGTGTAGGACACTATGGCAGTAGTCTAGGTGAGAGCTTCTGATAGTTTAGTGTTAGACTGGTGTCAAAGACTACACCCATATTTCTGGCATAAGCAACCAGTTTGGTAGAAGTTTATTGAGATAGGAAAAAATGGGAGGATGAGCAGGGACATGACAGCAATAGAAAGGGCAAGAGCAGTTTCCAGTTTCCCAAAGAGGATATAGTATTGTATATTTAAACAAGTATAATATATACTAAAATATTCAGTAATACCACTATAAGTTACTGAACCCAACTAAATACTTGATGTGCAAGAAGTCTCAGTTCAGTGGGGAGATGGACATGTTCCTTGGACATTAGGATCCCAGGTCCTAGTGTCAAATGATCAGAAGTAGCAAATTAAGAAGTGTAAGAAGGAATGGGAGCCATGATTTGAGGGTGCCTGTGAGATGAGCATTCCATGACAAGCCAGTAGTGAGTGCAAAAAGCACAGAAGCCTAAATCTTCATGATGTACAACATCATAGGTAAGAGCATACACTCTAGAACCAAACGCCTGGGATGTAATCCTGTTTCTCTGAGTAGCTATAAGACATAGGTCAAGCTACATGACATATCTGCCTCAGCGTTATTCTATTAAATGAGGATTAGCCACAGCACCTATTTGATGGCATTGTTGTGAGGTTTAAATACACTGAGGAACATTTGAGCACTATACAAATATTAATTATGATGATACCCATGAAGGTGATGGTGATAAGAGTAGTAATAATGATGAAATTGATAACATGGGAGATGAGGGTGGAAGGGTAGAAAGGAAAAAAATATTGAAGGGATTGGGTGCAGTGGCTCATGCCTGTAGTCCTAGCACTTTGGGATTGAGCAGGAGGCAGGAGGATCCCTTGAACTCCAGAATTCAAGACTAGCTTGGGAAACATGATGAAACCCTGTCTCTATAAAACAATACAAAAATTAACTGGGTGTGATGGCACGTGCCTATAGTCCTAGTTACTCAGGAGGCTGAGGTGGGAGGATCACTTGAGTCCTGGCGGTCCAGGCTGCAGTAAGCCAAGATGATGCCACTGATGCATCTGGAGTGCAAGATGATGTACTCTCCAGCTTGGGAGACAGACCAAGACCCTGTCTCAAATACACACACACACACACACACACACACACACACACACACACACACACAGTCTTCAGCATACAAGGCCCTTCTATATATAGAATGAATTGCAAGAAGACACAGCCTGCGAGATAGAGACCAATCAAAAGGCTTATACAATTGTTCATAATTCACAAACTCACAGCAACACAAAACCACCTCTTGATTTCAAATGTTAAAGCTCTCCATCAAAATGGGTCAAGAGAGCAGGCATTAGGCAGAGCTGACAGCTCAGAGGGAAATCGCTGCCACTCTGAACCACATCTACTCCTGTCTACCTGCAGGCCAGCAGGGACTTGAGCTTCAAAGGTGGCTGCTTGCCAAGATGAGTTTATTTGAAGCTATGGCTCTGCAGCCTCAATCATTAGCCCTCTCCCCCAGACCTGATCCCTTCTATTCACCTAAGCTTTCCCTCCACGCCCCAAGATAGGCCACTGGGAACCTCGGTAGACTGCTTCCTGAACAACAAAGTGCCTCATTAGCTACTTTTTAATGAGGTCACAGCCTGTGACTGCTCATTAATAGAGTGGTTAGTCAGCATCTCTAGGGGTAAAGGAGACTGAAGACAGAAGTCAGTGATAACAGAGCTCAGCCCAGGCGTAGCTGTGTTAGAGGGAGAAAGAACTTAGCAGAGACTCTTAGGCTTGTACTCTGATGTCTCCAGGGTCCCTTCCAGCTCTGAGACTATGATTCTGGAGAAGGACATCCAGAGGGACCAGGTCTTTGGTGGGAAGAAGTGACAACAGAGTCAAGTGATCCAAGGTTCAGAACAGCTATTGATCTAAAGATATTCTTGAAGAAATCGAATGCTCTTTAAGTTCTCTTGGATGCTTTTGTAAATGGAATTTAGCTCTTGAAACTTTTTATAATCTTGCCTTCTATAACCACAGATTCTCTCGGTATTCCTCCATGTGTCCAAGTACAGATTCTTTGTGTTATTTTCCAAGTCTTTTAAAATTGTATTTGTCCTTGGAGTTAATTCATTGGCCCTCTTCTCTCCTCCCTGTATACTGTCCCCTAGACATCCTGTCCATTCACGGGGTTCCAACACATCACTCCTGCAGAGATGAAACTTCGGCATTGACTCATATCTTATATCTCCCACCAGGATTAATATTGGAGCCTCCTAATGTTACTGAGCAAGGGCTCACTGCCCAAAGAGCATAGAA
Source organism: Homo sapiens (assembly GCF_000001405.40). NCBI lineage: Eukaryota > Metazoa > Chordata > Mammalia > Primates > Hominidae > Homo > Homo sapiens. The sequence goes on from NC_000011.10 coordinate 6,825,245, forward strand.
GCCAGTACCATGTCACTAGCTTTTGAGAAAAACAGCTTTATTGCAAGTCAACTGGCAAGGAAACAGAAGGAAATGCTCAAATCTGTCTCCCTGAGCTGGGGACTGGGGCAGGTTTCATAGACAGAGTAATGAGGTGTGAATGAGGTAATGCTGGGAGGCGTGATCTGACTGGATTATGCCACGGGATGATGTCAGGGCTCAATCTGATTGGATCATGTGTTGTCTGCTTGTTAATTCCGTCCCTGTTTCTTGGACTAAGCCATTAGGTTCCACTCACGATTGTGTACTTCGTTCATCTGGGCATGCTCAAATTACCTAACTTGCAACCTAGGGTCTATGGCAACTGAAAAATGACTCATTCCTTTGTTACATAAAAGTTGAACCAGATTGGTCTGGTTTCACGGTTACACTAATTGGTCTTCCTATCTCCCAGCCTGCTGCAGACTTACACATACAACTCATTCCAATTCATACTCTTTAGCATCCCCGGAGTTTTTTCTGAACACACGTATGATGATCTGTCATTCTCATGCTTAAAAACTCTTGATTCACTCTCATGATCAGAATAAAACTAATGTTTTTAGTGTGTCATACAAGAATCCTTATAGTCAAGTTTTAGCTTATCTTTCCAACTTCAATTTTTATCATTCACTTATTCATTCAATTATAGTCATACTGAACTTTTTTCTTTCCCCTTATACTATGCATTTTTAGTTTCTTTAAACAGTATTTTTAGGCTGGGTGCGGTGGCTCACACCTGTAATCTCAACACTTCGGGAGGCCTTGGTGGAAGGATTGCTTGAGGCTATGAGTTTGAGACCAGCCTGGGCAACATAGTGACACTCCATCTCTACCAAAAAAAAAAAAAAAAAAGAAATTTTTTTTAATTCACCAGGAATGGTGGTGTATGCTATAGTCCTAGCCACTTGGGAGGCTGAGGCAGGAGGATTCTTTGAGTCTAGGAGTTCAAAGCTGTCAAAGCTGCAGTGAACTATGATTGTGTCACTACACTCCAGCCTGGGCGACACAAAGGACACTGTCTCAAAAAACAAAACAAACAAACAAAAAACAGTAAAACAAACAAAACCATATTCTGTTTTATTCCCCTTGACAATTTAGAGTCTGAAAGGTCTAGGGTCAAATCTTGTATCTACTACCTACAAGCTATGCAAGCTGATACATATTACTCTGAATTTCTGTCTTTACACTTTCTAATTTGTAAGTGGGCTATAATATAGTTATCTGATATATGTATAATAATATTTTATAAATAATACTATACAATAAAATAAGAATAATATAAGCCAACCACATCTACTTGTGGATCTATATGAACCTTTCTTTTTTTTTTTTTTTTTGAGATGGAATCTTGCTCTGTCACCCAGGCTGGAGTGCAGTGGCGTGATCTCGGCTCACTGCAACCTCCACCTCCGGGGTTCCAGTGATTCTCCTGCCTCAGCCTCCTGAGTAGCTGGGACTACAGGTGTACACCACCACGCCTGGCTAATTTTTGTATTTTTTAGTAGAGATGGGGTTTCACCATATTGGCCAGGCTGGTCTCAAACTCCTGACCTCATGATCCGCCCACCTTGGCCTCCCAAAGTGCTCGGATTACAGGCATGAGCCACCACGCTCGGCCCTATGTGATCCTTTCTATACTTTTGTATTTCCTGCAATTCAATGTGGGAGTTTTGTTATGCAGAATTCTCAAGGATGTTTACTATAATTGTGCCATAAGAAATCTATGTAAGCTCTACCTCCTCCCAGGAAGCAGGGTAAATTAAGTAACTAGCATTTATTGACAAGGAAATATGAGTTAATATTTTAAAATAAAGTCTTGATTAATTCTTACAGATATTAATATAATTTATAAAATAGCACATCTGCTTCAAAAGAGTAACTTGTTCAACAGTTGCAACTATTTAAGTGTCAGAGCAAGGATTTTAATGTAGGTCTAAATCTGAAATAGCCTTTACTTTTAAAATATTGCATATGCCTTCTCTACAATGTAGAGGTAGACACTAGATATAAGAGGAAATAGAATGAAGTTTAACAAGGTTATTTAAAAAAAAGCGTGATAAGAAGAAACAAAACACAACAAGAAAGAATGTTGGGACCAATTTAAATGGAGATTATCTGATCTATTGTATGTTGAGCTATTTCTTTGGAATCATTAAAAGTACTTATAAAGTGACTTTTATTTTCTAAAAGAAAAACTTAGCACATAGTAAATGTTCAATAAATGGTAGAAATTCTTATTAAGCCCTTATGTCTTTATAAAATTTTTCTGTCAAAAATTCCTTCTTTTTCCTTACATCTTCCCCAATGTGTTTCTTCTAGAAACTCTCTGATTTCCTTTAGACAAAGCTGAGTTAATTCGCCTCTGTCACATATACTGTTAATGCACTGAAGACAATGTAATTGTATTTTATATACATATCACGTGAATGTAAGGACAACTTTTCCATTTATGTTCATATTCCTGGGCTAGCACTCATGAACACTCAATAAATATTTTAATGAATGATTAATTCCTAAATCACTACCTCTAGCAGTAACCTCTCAACCAACTGTGAATTTTATGTTTCCAACTGCCTCCAAGACGTTTCTGCTTAGGCAGCAAGGTATCTGTGTAGCACAATGCTCCCAAACTATAATGTATGAAATAACCTTTATGAAGGATGCCTCACTCTCCCTACTAACAGTAACAGTAAACATGGCAAATACAATTGAGACTGGTAAGCAATTTCCCATAAAAATGTTCCTGGATTTGCAAATATGTTTTTCTCAAGAGTCCCCCAAATTTTAACCCCAAAAGCCCCCAGAAATGTTACCCAAAATGTGTGCCCAAAGATGTTTACCCCTCTGCTAATAAGCATATATTGTTTGTGAGGGTTTGTTTGCATACACTGAGATGAGTAACTCACCCAGAAGGGATTAACACCCTATATATCCCAAAGTTGTAAACAACTTACATTACCCATTATGTGAGAGTACTTTGAGTATAGCCAATCAAAGCATGAATGATGCAACTGAGAGTCAATACAAAAGTCCACACCTGGTTAAACAGGGATCTAGGATCATGGTCTGTCAGAAGTGTCCTGAGATGGTTAACTGAGGGTCACATACAGACCAGAAGACAACTCTAACTCTGTGGCATGCCTGCATGATGACATTCTGAACCCCAGGTTTACCTAGAATAGTGCACGAACAAATTCATTGTTCCAATGACCAAATTTGGACAGTTTTTCTCTTATTATTTACCTTTCTTTTTTTTTTTTGTTTGAGACGGAGTCTTGCTCTGTCGCCCAGGCTGGAGTGCAGTGGCACGATCTTGGCTCACTGCAAGCTCCATCTCCCAGGTTCAAGCCATTCTCCTGCCTCAACCTCCCGAGTAGCTGGGAATACAGGCACCTGCCACCACATCCGGCTAATATTTTGTATTTTTAGTAGAGACGGGGTTTCACCATGTTAGCCAGGATGGTCTCGATCCCCTGACCTCGTGATCTGCCCACCTCAGACTCCCAAAGTGCTGGGATTACAGGCGTGAGCCACCACGCCTGGCCTTACCTTTCTTTTTGACTTAATTTTTCACTGATTTAATTTTACATTCCATCCGAGAACATTTGATATACTGGGTCCTGAAGACAGAATTGTGATTGAGCTGCTGCTCTCTAGTTGGTGCTGGCCCAGTAGATAAGACAGAGAAGTAAACAGACAATCATAAAATGAAATTTCATTCGATGTACTTCACTATGTGATAATGCCACACTTTGATCATTGCTATCATAAAAGTATTCAACCACTCTCCAAATTATTCCTTGGAAATACGTTTTTTTACTCATCCTCTATGGTTAATTCGTATTTCCGTTGTCACTGCTACTGCCCTTGTTACTTATTCCTTTTTCTTATTCCCATCTTTCATTGGCATATTCATTTAATCAATGAATATTTATTAATGTATACTAAAACCCAAGAGTATAACAATGAGCTAGGTACTGCCCTCTAGGAGCTCCTGCTCTTTCAGACAGACAAGTAAATCAACAGCTATGGAACAAAAAGTGCCATGCAAAGGGCTTTACTATGTTATAATCTTATTCTGATATATACTATCATAGAAGTGTTCAACAAGTCTCCTAATCTTTGTTTTTTTTTTTTTTTAGATGGAGTCTCCCTCTGTCACCCAGGCTGGAGTGCAATGGCGTGATCTCAGCTCACTGCAGTCTCTGCCTCCTGGGTTCAAGCAATTGTCCTGCCTCAGCCTCCCAAGTAGCTGGGATTACAGGCACACACCACCATGCCTGGCTAATTTTTGTATTTTTAGTAGAGGCAGGGTTTCACCATGTTGGCCAGGATGATCTCAAACTCCTGACCTCAGGTGATTCACCCGCCTTGGCCTCCCAAAGTGCTGGGATTACAGGCATGAGCCAAGTCTCCTAATCCTGGTAATTCTTCATTGGAAAAATTCTTACTCAAACTTTGGTTCAATTCCCATTTTCACTGCTACTGCCATGAGCCTAGCCAAGCCCTTACTTCTAAATTGTTATCATAAAAGCCACCTCACTGTTCTCAAATTCCATGCTCACTTCCGAATCCTCCTTTACATATACTAATAAGTACTGGATTTACAGTGGTGACCAAAACTGAGTCCTTATCCTTAGAGACATTGTCACCCTATGAAAATTAAATAAAGAATTTACAAATAAATATATAATTATATATTGCTATTATTGCTATGAAGAAAAAGAACAAAATTCTCTGAGAAAGAATACATGGGAATCCAAATACAAAAGAGTTAGGAAAGTGCTTTCTGGGGAAATGACAATAGAAAATGACAAAGTGGTATCAGAAAACTGAATAGGAGTTAACAAGGTGAAAATTAGGGGGAAAGGCATTAAAAAACAAATGTATTAACTTACATAAAGGCCCTGAGGCAGGAAAGTTTGGTGTATTGGAGAAAAAGAAAGAAGCCAATCTGACAAACATTGAGTGTGATTAAAGAAACAGTGTTGATGGCAGTGATAGTCATCATATAGTCAGCTGGAATGCCCCTTCTCTTCCTTGATGGCAACCTTCAAGTTCAAGGTCAAATAGTATCATGATACAGCCTAACATATGACATTCACCAGGGTTTGGCATGTTTCCTACACTTTATCTCGTTTCCTTTTCACAATGGGTATTGAGACATGGATTAATTTTAATATGTTTATTTGAGTCATAAGGCAAGAAATTATTGGGGAAATAATCAGAATGAAAGTGTTTTGTTTCAGGTATCTCTCTTTTTCCAAAAATTTTAATAAACAGACATAATAAAATTAATTAAGTATGAAACAACATATGATTAAAATATTTCTTTCTCAATGCTGACCTTTCTGGTTCCCCACATCCCTGTCCCAAAGGCAATAATATTAACAATTTTTTTATGTATCCTTTCAGAAATTTTCTATTTACAGTCAACTCTCTATATCTTGGGCATTGGTTCTAGGAACCTCTCCACATGAACTGATGTCTGTGCTGTGGAGACAAAAGTCACTCCATCTTGGATACTAATCTATCGTGTTGACTTTGGATTAGCCCAAGTTTCATGAATACTTCCTGATTCCTATTTTATTTTCCATCCTTAGTGTAAGAACTTGTACTCACTATAAATTCTGCCTTTGTGATATTATCATACAAGTTATAGGCTATGATGAATATAGCATTCTTTTCTGTTCCAGAAGGTTGCCTTTAATTGTCTTGCACAGAGGACATACACCCTTTCCCTATGGTATATAAGCCCTTGGTCTGAGGGTAACAGGTGCAGAGATCTACCTGTTTTGCTGCTGCCCAAGACCATACTTCCATCCATAAGTTCCCCAATAACCCTCCCCTTACTGACAAACTGGATTCGTCTGCCTTGTTCTTTGGTTTCTCGGCTCTTTCTGCACATTTGGGGGTTGTTTTCCATATTGTGCCTAATAGAACTCAAGTGATAGAACAAATAATGCACAATATAGCACTTATGCTGTATTAGATTTGGCTTCTGCCTTCTTTAGCATCCCTTTAGCCCTGACTCACAGGCATTATATTGATGACTATGCTAACCCCTGAAGACTTGTCATTGCTACAGCAACACCTGGATGCACTGTGTACCATTCTCCAATGGATAGGATAGGTCATCAACCTGCAAAAGATACAAGGCCCATGGCTGGCTGTAAAGTTCCCAGGGGTCACTTGGTTGGGTAATACACATCTTATCCCAGGCACACTTACCTTGGGTAAGACACATCTTATCCCAGGCATAGTCATTGACAAAATACCACAGTATTCCACATCTAAGACAGTTAAACAGTTACAAATTTCCTAGGTCTTTTTGGATATTTACTTCACATTTAACGCAACGTTTGTGTCCCCTATGCCAACTAGTAAAGAAGGAATCTAGTTTGTGCTGAGATAAAAAAGAAGAGGATGCACATTAGAAGGCTAAAATACTAGTGGCTCAGGCACAAGGCTTAGGGTCCCCCCTTCCTGGGATACCAATATCTTTGGATGTGGCCATAATCCCTGAGGGACCAGTTGGGCCCTCTGCAAGTCCAGCATGGGACAACGGTTCCCTTAGGATTCTGGTCACAACAACGAAAGGATGCTGAAACCTAACTATTCCCTGATGAAACAACCAGTCCTGGGGGTAGACAAAGCTTTATGACAAATTGAACCCGTAACTGTCGCTTTGCTGGTAACAGTAAGAAGAGTTTTCCCTACTAAACGCTGAACAGAAGTGTTGTTTGCTAGGTATGTATCAGCTATTGGTCAAGCCTCCAGTTTACAAAACTGGGATGCATATCTGCAACCTGTAGTGGCTTCTCCACAAGTCCCTTGGGAAATGAACTACATGCCATCTTAGGGCCAGTATACTATGAAGCCTGTGCTGCCCTTCTTGTGAAGCCTCCACAGGAGATACCTCCAATGGTAGCCAAAGGCATGGCCCCCCTTTCCTGAAAACATTTGGTACTCAGATGGGTACAGCTGAGGTAACCCTTGTGTATGGACAGAAGTCGCTGTACAACCACAGACAGATGCTATCTGGTTTGAGATGGGACTGCAGCAAAGCAGACAACGGGCAGAATTGTCTATATGAGCTATATGGTTGATTTGTACCCATGAGCCATGGCCTACAGTTATCTGTACAGACAGTTGTATAAAAATATACAATTTTTAATCAATCCCCTATTGATGGAATTAAGGTAATTTTCCCATTCTTTTGCTGTTAAAAATTGTAGTCCAATAAAAAACAATCATAATTTTTCCTCGCTCTAAAATTGTGATTCTGCCTGAATCACTATTTCTATCTCGTGCTGCTCACTAACCATTTCAAAATCTTAGGGCTTCAATTCATTTGATCAACATTTGGACAAAAAATTATATCTCATACATTTTTCTTAACCATGACCAGCCTAAGATTAGCCAAAAAAAACCCCCAAATTTTATACTAAAGGAAGTCTACTTGATTGAGTCCTTTCTGTCAGCAGTTTCCTGTTTCTCATCTCAAATTTTGTTTATAATGACTAGTCTTATGTACTTAATCATTCATTTGTTCAACACCTGAATTCTGCCATTCAAATGTATGCTTTATGAGCAGAGAGACTTCACATGTTTTGTTCATTTCTCTATCTCAGGGTCTAGAGCAATGCCTGGCATGTAGCAATTACTCAATACATATTTGTTAAATAAATGAAAAATTATTGCCATATGATAGGTTATAGTAATATAATGTTAATGTGAGATTTTATATATATATGTTGTAACATAATATATTAATATGATTGCTAATATATGTCATCTCATCACACCAATCCTATAAAATAAGCCTTATGATCTTTGTCTAAGCCATATGGAAACTGAAACTCAGGAAGTTTGATAAATCACTAAATACCTAAAGTCAGTGAGTTTGAGAGCTGGTTTTAAACTTAGATCACTAAGAATCCAAAAGTTTTGTGCTTTACTTTGCACAACCCTATATCCCTAGAGTATGGTTTTTCTTTTTGAATTCATCCTTTTGACATCCAATATTTCTTTGGGCCCCAAAGAACAATAGATTCAAGAAAGGTCAGGTCCTCCTGAGGAAGGGAAAGAAGAGGAGCTTCGGTGAGCCCAGAAACATCAGGGAGGTGGCCGGTGGGGATAGAGGTGCCAGCCCTTCAGCTGTCCCTGAGGACAAAAGAGGCACGACTGGGAATAATTTTCTGAAAGCCAGGACAGGGAGCATGGCCAACCCTCCTACTGTGCTCACTCACCTCTAACATGCCACTAACACACAAGGCAGCAGTGAGCAGGCTACAGCTTCAGCCATTATTAGCTCAGCTGGAACAAGGAATAGGACTTCGCTGATTTCTCTTTTGGCTTTGCTGAAACAAAGAGAAAGCTCTTTGATTACATTTATGAAACATGTGCATGAAGGGCATGCATGAAGCATGGAAGTCAGGCAGAGCTGAACAAGGCACATGTTCTTGTTCGACACGGGTAAGGCTTTTTGCCAAGGACCTAATTTACCAGGGGCCACTCTCCAGCTTCAGTTGCTCAACTGGACAAGGTTTGAGCAGGGTTTGTGGGATACTTAATTTTATTCCTCTGCTCACACTAGGAAGATCTTATCAGTTCCTCTCTTCTCTAGGTCTGTTTTCTTTGCCTGTATTATAAGGTAAGTGAGATCTAAGGCTGCAGAAGAAATAAATGACTCAGGATTTTTTTCCTAACTCTATCCTGTAAAGCTTTCCAGGTTAGAAAAATTTCAGTAGCCGGAGCTTCCATAGGACATACACCTCTTCCAGGTCTTGATTTTCCTCTGATTAATTCAGGGAAGACTTACCTCACTAGAACATTCATGAGGCAGAGGACATCAGGAGACACTACTTCTTTAGGGAAGTTTTATGGTTACAGAAGGCCTAGGAGAGTGGGTTTCTATTCCAGGGACAGTTGCTCAGATGATTAGCAAATAGCTGCTCCTGGGGAAGTTCTAGAGGAACTGTCAAGGAGCCTGGGGGCTGGCTATGGGCCATCAGCTTCTTCAATGTCTCCCACACTGGAGACAGGTCACCAGCTCTTCTTCCCCAGTAGGTTCCAGAAGTTCTATAGGAACCTCAGCAAGCCCTTTCATCTCTGCCATTCGTCCTCCACAATCCTCTCCACCAGCATCACACACAACACAGTTGTCATAAAATGGAGCTTCTAGTGAAAGTGGATTTTTGTTTGTTTGTTTGTCTGTTTGTTTGTGAGATAGAGTCTCACTCTGTCGCCCAGGCTGGAGTGCAGTGGTGCGTTCTCAGCTCACTGCAACCTCCGCCTCCTGGGCTTAAGCAATTCTCCTGTCTCAGTCTCCCAAGTAACTGGGTTTACAGGTGCTCGCCACCATGCCTGGCTAATTTTTGTATTTTTAATAGAGACAGGGTTCACCATGTTGTCCAGGCTGGTCTTGAACTCCTGACCTCAGGTGATCCGCCTGCCTCAGCCTCCCAAAGTGCTGGGATTACAGGTGTGAGACACCGCACTTGGCCTGAAAGTCATTTTAGTAGGATGTAGTTGGATATGAAATCCAATGGAAACTTAGGAATAACGAACTCCCTGATATTCATGTATTTATTCTTACACTCATTCATCCAAAAATACACATAAATTGCTTAATATGGACAGGCATTGGGCTTATTCCTATAAATAAAATAAGCAGTTTCAGGTCTGAAGGAGTTTACAGATTAAATTTAAATATCAATAGATAACTAAAATACAACTGAATAACTAAAGAATTTTAAAAGCATACAGGAATAACCCTATCTGGAACCATCACAGGGGAGACACGTTTTAGTTTTTAAGATGAGAAGGAAGAAGTCAGCCAGGTGGAGGAGGGGGCACATGCAACCACAGGTGATGTCATGAGCAAAGGTATAGGCAGGGATTAGCAAACTACAACTCATGGGCCAAATCTGTCCAGCCCTGTTTTATATGGCCCACAAGCTAAAGATGACTTTTCACTTTTAAAATTGTCAAAAATGTAAAAAGAGTGATAGTTTATAGCATTATAAAATTATATAAAATTTTAATAAAATTTTGATGTCTATAAAGTTTTATTAGAACTCAGCCATGCACATTTGCTTAGGTATTGGATATGTTTATATACCTAATTATATATTTGTATACCTACATTGTATATGTTAGGTATCATATATGTTATTTATTTATTTATTTATGTGTGTGTGTGTGTGTTTGTCTAGGTATTGAATAGTTATGACAGAGATCACATGGTCCACAAGCATGAAATATTTTATGTCTGGCCTTTTACAGAAAAAGTTTTCCAACTCCTGGTATAGAATCATGAAAAGAAGTAATGTGTTCAATAACAAACAAATATGTTTATCCTCAGCATTGGTGAAGATTAAGGTACCTGGATGACAAAGGGACAAAAAAATGAGACCTAAGGAATATGTTGTATTCATATTGCATATCTTTCTAAAAACCCAGGTGTTGCCTTTATTATATTTTTTCTGATTATGGTTTTGAATGCAGACTCTGCCTTTTACTGCCCATGTAAACAAGTTACCAAATTCTTTAACTAACAAATTACATAATGTATCTAAAGTTCAGTTCATCGAGTGGCAATAAGGGGAGAATAATAATAGCGTCTAGATTGGACAGTTATTGTAAGAAGAATGTGAAAAAGGAAAAAGTAACATACGTAGCATAATTCTATTATATATTAGGCAAATGCTTCCAACTTGAGGTCATAATTTTTATTTTTATTATTACTGCTTTTATTACTGCTATATAATATGTGTAGCTCATTTTAGAATGCTTGAAAACCCAGAAAGCAAAATTAAGGAGATAGTCCCATCTCTCTTCCTACCACTTCAAAGTGACTATTCCTAAAAATTTGCATATTGCTATGCACATATTGATGAGTTTGGAATTTTACATGTAATCATATGTATTTTTGTGTTTTTTTCCATTTACTATTACCTGGTGAGTATTATTCAATAGTGGTAATGTTCTTTAAAAATGACTTATATGATTACATGACATTTCCTTAAATGCTTGGGTCATAATTGACCCAATCATTTGTAGATTATTGACACAATTTTGATACTATAATGATGCAACATTGAACACACTTATATGTGAAATCATTGTGCCTTTTGCTTGTGCATATGTGTGTGTGTGTAAAGAACACTTAAAACATGGATCTACTCACTTCAAAAAATTTTGAGTACACAGTACTGTATTGTTAACTATAGGTACCATGTTGCACAGCAGACCTCTAGAACTTATTCATCTTGCCCAACCGAAACTTTACACCCTTGGAAAGCAACTCCTGACTTTTACCCTCTCCCCAGAACCTAATATACACCACTGTACATTCTGTTTCTGTAAGATGGATTATTTTAGATACCTCATATAAGTGGAATCATGCACTGTCCTTCAATGACTGGCTTGTTTCACCTAGTATAATCTTCTCCACACTTATCCCTGTTGTTGCATACAGCAGGCTTTCTTCTTTTAAGGCTAAATAATATTCCATTGTAGTTATATACCACATTTTCTTTATTCACTAATCTGTCAGTGAATGTTTAGGTTGTTTTAATATCTTGGCTATTGTGAACAATGTTGCAGTGAGCATGGGAGTGCACATATCACTTCAAAATCCTGATATCAGTTCCTTTGGATATATTTCTAAAAGCAGGATTGTTGGATGTATTTTTAATTTCTGGAGGATCCTCCATAGTTTTTTCTGCAGTGGCTGCAACATGTTACATTCCCACCAACAGTGCACAAGGGTTCCAATGTCTCTACATCCTCGCTAAGACTTGCTTTGTTTTGTTTCTTTGTTTTTGTCTGTTGGGTTTATTTATTTGATAATAGCCATCCTGACAGGTGTGAGGTGATAACTCACTCTGGTTCTGCTTGGCATTTCCCTGATGACTACTGATGTGGAGCATCTTTTCATTGCCTGTTGGCCATTTGTATGTCTTCTTAAAGAAATATCAATTCAAGTCTGTTGTCCATTTTAAAATCAGCTTACTTATTTTCTTGGCTACTGAGTTGTAGGCATTTATTATATATTTGGGGTATTAATCTCTTATCAGATATATGGTTTGCAAATATTTACTTACATTCTGTAGGTTGTCTCTTCACTCTATTGACTTTGCTGCGTAGAAGCTTTTTAGCTTGTTGTCCCGCTTGCTAAATTTTGCTTTTATTGCTTGTGATTTTGGTGCCATATCCAAAAAATCGTTGCCAGACCCAATGTCATAAGGCTATTTCTCTATGTTTTTTTCCAGGGGTTTTGTAGTTTCAGTTTTCTGTTTTGTTTTGTTTTTGAGATTAAGTTTCATTCTTGCTGCCCAGGCTGGAGTTCAATGGGGCAATCTCGGCTCACCGCAACCTCCACCTCCCAGGTTCAAGTGATTCTCCTGGCTCAGCCTCCCAAATAGCTGGGATTACAGGCATGTGCTACCACACCTGGCTAATTTTTGTCTTTTTAGGAAAGATAGGGTTTCGCCATATTGGCCAGGCTGGTCTTGAACTCCTGGCCTTGGTGATCTGCCCACCTTGGCCTCCCAAAGAGCTGGGTAGCTTCAGTTCTTATATTTAAATTTTTAATTCATTTTGAGTTGATTATTGTGTGTGGTATAATAAAAGCTAAAAGAAAATTTCATGATTTTGCATATGAATATTCAGTTTTCCCAAAATCATTTGTTGAAGAGATTATCCTTTTCTCTATTATGTGTTCTTGGCACACTTGTTGAATATTGGTTGACTATATATGTGTGAATTTATTTCTGGTTTCTCTGTTCCACTGGTCTATGTCGGCTTTTATGCCCCCTCTACCTAAATTTCTACTCTTTGAAAATCTGTAGGAATCTTTTGCCATATATCTTAAGACATTTTCGTATTTTAATTTAATTTTTTTAAATTTTGGATTTTTATGTTTAAAATCATTTAATTTTTATTTGGGCTAATCAATCATCTTTTTTCTTTTCTTTTCTTTTTCAATCATCTTTTTTCTTCAGGAATTTTGTTTTGGTATACTGCTTAGAAAGACCACAAACATATGTAATAAAATATAAACATATTTTCTTCACACTCAACTAAAGCTTAATTTCAACATTTAAATCATCATCTATATTGAATGTAATTCTTTATGATAAAAGGTGAGAGTTTAACTGGGCTTGTTTTTGCATTGCCCCAGAGCTCTTTATTGTAGTTTTCTTGTATGTACACTATTTCTGGCCTTCATTATGTTTCCATGACTTGTCTAATACAAATATAATATACTTAAAGTATGTGTAGAGATACTATGTAATATTTTCATGTTATAAATAATGTAATAAAATATTAAAAAGTTACAAAGTATTTTAACATATGGTCACAAACAGGAACTTTTAAATTTTGGAATTACTTTAAATATTTTTAATAATTTGACAAAAATTTTTATGTTTATAAAACTATTTCTGTAGTCATAAACACAGTATGACACTAAATTTGTTCAAGATTAGATTATGACATTTCATAAGGGCTTTGATTATTTTAAATAGGATACTAATTATTTCCTGATATGTTTATTTCAAAATTTTTGAATTTTATTGATAACATGAAATTTATTTTTTGACTGTTTTTTCCTTGTATATAAGAAAAATATTCATTCTTAAAATACGTTGTATTACTTGAACAACTTAGTTTTCTGTCATTGAACAACTTTTCTTCTGAAAGTAATAATTCTGTATTCCTTTTTTCTTTCTTTTTTTTTTTTTGGAGATGGAGTCTCACTCTGTCGCCCAGGCTGGAGTGCAGTGGCGCGATCTCGGTTCACTGCAACCTCCATCTCCTGGATTCAAGCAATTCTCTTGCCTCAGCCTCCCGAGTAGCTGGGACTGCAAGCTCATGCTGCCACACCCGGTTATTTTTTTTTTCTGTATTTTTAGTAGAGATGGGGTTTCACTGTGTTGCCCAGGCTCGTTTTCAACTCCTGAGCTCAGGCAATCCGCCCGCCTCGGCCTCCCAAAGTGCTAGTATTACAGGCGTGAGCCACCATACCCAGCACCCCTGTTTTCTTTTCCAATGTTTATACCTTGTTTATTATTATTATTACTTTGGCCAGAATTTTTAAACCAATAGTGGGATTAAAATTTCAACAATATCTATGATCTTCAGAATATCCATAAATGCCCAAAAATTATATGTAAAATTTTGTACATATGGATATATGTACATTTGGGAGGAGAAAGAGTTCATGACTGTTGTCAGATTGTAAAAGGGTTCCATAATCCCCCAATTCTCAGAACCATTGCTCTATTATTATACTACTAATCTCAGAACTGGCTATTGTTTATATAATATTCACGTTTCATTAAGAGAGTGGTTTTCTCTTCAAAAGTTATAAAACTTTGCTGTGCTGGATTTTTTTTTACAGATAAGTGTTGAACTTTCAAACAGTTTTAGGATTTACTGAGGTTAACTTTTTTTTATTGAAATGATGATATAAATTATATTTGATTATTTCTTAATCACAAACAGTATTTGCATTCCTGTAATAAATCCTACTTGGCCATACATATATAGTTTTGGATTTAAAATGACTGCATTTTATTTCTCAATTTTGCACTTATATTTACAAGTCAGATTGGTCTTTGAGCTTTTTTGTGTGTGTATTATATTTGCTGCTTTGAAAACAGGTATAGGTAATTGTCATAATATTAATCGGAAAACACTGCATCTTCTTCTTTGTTCTGAAACAGTTCATCTAAAGATAAATCACAAGATTTACCTGTTCCCTGAAGGAATAAATTACCTCATCCATTAAACTATCCATGTTAATGACCTTTTTCATTGTAATCTTTTGATAAAATTACTTCAAACCACTCATTTTTTATCTGTTTTATTCAAGGCTGAACCTTACATACTACTAGAAAGCATTTCATTTTAAAAATCAGACATTTATTAATATAGTAGTATTTGCTTATAATTTTAAAAGTTTCATTCCGTATCTGAGATTGACATAATTTATTCCTAAATTACATATTTTTGTTTCCTCCATTATTTCTTCATCAGATTTTCCAACAATTTATGTTTACTTAATTTTTTTTTTTTTTTTTTTTGAGACAGAGTCTCGCTCTGTCGCCCAGGCTGGAGTGCAGTGGCACCATCTCGGTTCACTGCAACCTCTGCCTCCCAGGTTCAAGTGATTCTCCTGCCTCAGCCTCCTGGGTAGCTGGGATTACAGGTGTGTGCCACCATGCCGGCTAATTTTTTGTATTTTTAGTAGAGACGGGGTTTCACCGTGTTAGCCAGGATGGTCTGGATCTCCTGACCTTGTGATCTGCCCGTCTTGGCCTCCCAAAGTGCTGGGATGACAGGCGTGAGCCACCGTGCCAGGCCACTTAAAGTTTTCTCTACCCTCAAAATTAAAAGGAAACTAGAACAGTGATTAAGATATTATTGAGCATATTTCCATAAATTTTGTTGTATAGTAAGAAATACTTTAAGTTTAAAATTATTAGCTCAATAATTTTTATTTTTTGCTAGCATTTTGTCTATCATTTCTCTACTTTGATCTGCCATTCTATGTTCCTAGAAATTTATCTATTTTTATTTCCTGAATTTTTTATTTACTCTATAATTTTTATCATTTCATAGTATTCCTCAATTTCTCAAACATTCTCTTAATTCAGTTTCCTTCAGTATCCAGGACTGTTTTTCACAGTCTTAATTTCCTAATGAATTGTTTTATTTCCAGGTGTATTTTTCTTACAATATATTGAACATATTTATGACTACCTATTCAACAGTATTTTGTTTTATGCTGTTGGTAGTACAGATAACAGATGTTTACATGTTTTTCCTATTACTTACTTTTTTTTTCAGAAGAGGGCCATCTCCTTTGATATCTTAGATATGTCCCATTAGTTTAAATTGTTACATTCCTATCTCCCATGACTTTACCGTTTATTCTGAAGTACAAAAGTCTAGATCGTCTTATAATAAAACAGCAGTTTCTAATTGATATACTGTGTTTACTAATATCATTGATCCTTTTGTTTTATTCAAAATTTTATAGGTTTCTTTGTGTGTGTGTGTGTGCATGCCTGTGTGTGAGAGACAGAGGGAGAAAGAGAGAGAGCTTGAGCATTACACTTGCTAAAATCTCCAATATTTTCCTCAAAATTATAAATTTTGGTTTTTTACTTGTTAGTGCCACAGAGCAGTCCAATTTCAGTGTGATATGTATTATTTTAAGAAATATTTTTTTCTGCATAGATTCTGCAATGTTTTGAATATATTCTTGGAAACCAAACTGTTCATGGGGGCACACTGGTTGTTAGTCATTCTTTGATTTTGCCTGTTGCTTCATGAGTTCTTGCTATTATCTAATTGATTTCTCTTTGCTTAGTAACATCTTCATTATCTTTCTTACTATTTATTATTCCAGCTCCATTTGTTTGGCTCACTTTTTCAGGGACATTAATTATTTGTTAGACTGTTTTCTGCTTTTAATTTTTAATTTTTATCTTATATTCATCTATTTCCCCATTTTCTGCATCTTATAGGAGAGCACTTCAAGCCTTTCCATGTAAGTTTTCTATTTTAGGCAGAGTCAGAGTCAAATCCATTCTTTACTGTTTTCAGTAAAAGTTTTGTTTCTGCTATTGCAGTTCAGTTTCATTACAATACTTTCATAATTACATATAGCATCCTGTTTATGCCTATTTTTTAAAGGACTGCCCAAAATCTAATTTTATTTTTGCATTCTTTATAAAAAAAAGCAACTGATAATCATTTTCCTCTTAACTTTGATGACCATATTTTCAGGAACTACTGAAAGACTTCAAGTATGTTGTTTGTAAGGAATAGTTTATAATTACTGAATTTTACATTTTTGCTTAACATACAAAATTTCTGCTTAATGTATTAAGCATATTTTTGCTTAATATGTTTTGTAAACTATAGTTAACTCTCAGAATGTCTAAAGCAAGCTACCTTTATTTTCATTAATAAAAATGAGTAATTTAAAACTCCATGCACATGTAACATTTTAAATACCCAACTTCCTTAACATAAGGTAAAACAGTCTCAGGCAGGCTGCCACTGGTTTTTTTTTTTTTTTTTTTAAATTAGAGGCAGGGTCTCACCATGTTGCCCAGGTTGATCTCGAACTCCTGGGCTCAAGCAATCCTCCCATCTCAGCCTCCCAAAATGTTGAGATTACAAGTGTGAGCCACCACTCCTGGCCTGGGAAATTTTTTTAAATGTATGTGGTAATACACAGTATAGATCACATTTAGTATATGGCCAAGTTAATTAAGAAGTCAAAAAACACATTAAATTTAAGAACAAATAGACTGGTTGTGGTGGCTCACGACTGTAATCCCAGCACTTTGGGAGGCCAAGGCAAGTGGACCACCCGAAGCCAGGAGTTCTAGACTAGCCTGGCCAACATGGCAAAACTTTGTCTCTATTAAAAATACAAAAAGTAGTTAGGCATGGTGGGGCGCCCGTGATCCCAGCTACCTGGGAGGCTGAGGCATGAGATTGCTTAAACTTGGTGGGCAGAGGTTGCAGTGAGCTGAGATTGCGCCACTGCTCTCCCCCCTGGGCAACAGACCGAGTCTCTGTCTCAAAAAAAAAAAAAGTACAAATAGTTATTTGAAAAACTTCTGACATTTATTTACTTCTGGACAAACAAATAAGTGGGAAGAGCTGTCAGTATAAACCTCTTTTAATTTTAGTCTTTATCATTAAAATTGCCTGAGTTCTTAGAACACAGAACAAACAAATTTGAATGCATTTGTGACAGTTTAATAATTTGTATGTCTCATTATGATCTTTTAATAGGAAGTTTTAAAGCCAAAGCATAATTTACTGCAAAGATAAATTAGAAAAGGCAAATAAACTTTTTAATAATATGTTATAGTGACCTGGACAAAACTGATTATTAACTAGTAATACAATAATTAGAATATGCAACCGATTGAGAAATTAAATCCTGTGCTATATACTCGTAAGTATTTTGTCAGACATGATATATATTTAAATGTTTCTATCAATTGCATTCCTTTTGCTGCATATATCAGTTTTTATTTAAAACAAGAAAACAATTCTCTTTCCTCCAGATTCTCATGTTAATCAGTGCAAAATATTGCAATTTTAGTAAAAATTGTTTATTACAATGTTATTTTAGAACGGCTTATTCCTTAAACTATCGAAAATGTACTTAAAAAATCCAAATTATGAGAATGATCAACTTCAATGGCTTCCTCGACATCCAGCTTGGCTTCTCCATGTCCTTCCTGTGACTTATCAAGAGAGGCCAGGGCCTCATTTTTGTCACTTGTAAAAGTTTCTCATGATATATCATCATCTTGAAAATTTAGACTTTTAATAGCTTATTTCATTTTTTCATTGTGTTCTCTTCCTAGCAGCTTTTTAATTTTCATATTCCTTTTGATTTTCTATGTAGAAAACATCCTTAATTTGTTCCTTGCTGATACTAGGAGTGTTTTTCAAGAGATTCAGAAAATCTCCACCTGGTGTTCTCTTCAACTACTATTCATTATAAAGAGGCCACCATTTTGTTCTACTTCAGCAGTTTCCAGCAGAACAATTGCCTTTTGTTCCCAATAATCCTCACTGCTTGAGCCATCGGATCTTTCTTTGGTTCCTGTAACCTGAATAACATTTCATCAGCCACTTTCTCTTGGGAATCTTCCTCTGTGATCTCGTATCAACCTTTATAGTTCATTTTTGGTTCTGGTCTGTTCCCTAGCCTGTCTTTGACAGGTCATTTCCTTTTGAGATGACCTTGCCCCTTTTCCTCTTCCTTTGATCCCATTTTTTTGTTTGTTTGTTTTTGCCACCATGCATATATTCAGCTAGTTGTTTGTCTAGCCCTTTCGTATGCTCTAGAGATTCCCTCTTAAGTTTCTTAGCAAGCAAACAATCATAGGTCTCGGATTGTCTGCTTCTGTCAATAGTGCCCTCCATTCCCAAGATACCAAGTTCAGTGGCCACTGCATCTTAATTCTGTTCCTGCAGTACAGCACCCCATATGTTGTTAACCTTCTTTCCTCCAGAAACAGGTGGTTTCTGACTGCTCTGGCCAAACTGAAAAGACTCTGGTTTGGGAGGAGAGTTTACATATTTCCATCACTTCCACTTCCAAAGACAGCTATCATCATCTGAATCAGAAAAACTCTCTTCACTTGAATCCACACTTTCAACAACTCGGTAATGTGATACTGGTGCACATGCAGTCGCCCTGCTCTGGAAGGCCCTTATAAGCACTGTCCCCACCTAGCACTTTCCACACTTGCTGCAGCCTGTTGCTGGGTGTGACCATTATGTCGGAATCTGAGTCAGGTTGGAAAGCTGCCCATCTTCCATGTCGCTGGCCTCCAACACCATCTTCCCGTGGTGCCTATGCCTATATTTTAGCCAACATTATTTTCATCTCTGTTGCCTAGAAAGCCTTTAAAGATGATGTTATGTGTCCCTGTGCCCCTTTAAGGTACTATGTATTTTTGTATTTTGACTTTCATTGTGATGTGTTATAATTGATTATTTAAATATTTTATCTATTAAATTCTAAGCTTCAGTGAATAATCATTGTATCATCAGTGCTGCCATAGAAATTGAATAAATACAGACTTTCCTTTTATATCATTTAAGATTCTATCTCGTTTCATAACTTTTTATCCATGAATGTTTTCCTTTGAAACTTCACTCTAATGTTTCTTATATTTTTTATAGTTTTTTTTTGTGGGAGTCTGTTTTATTTTTTCCAATTTTCCTGTTCTTGAAAGGGAAGTAGTCAGAATCTCCTTGGACACAGTCACTTTCCACAGAATTGTAGTACAATACTCCTCTCCGATCTTAATTTTGAGAGTCAGTGGATTATGCAGGTACTAAGAATCAGTTGCCAATTATAGATATGCTGGACCAAAGAGGAAACTGCTAACATTGTTTCCCACAGTCTGATTTGGCAAGAAAGAATAAGTATTACGTGATTTGAAGTGGTCTACAATTCTTACGGTGAGTGAGGGGGAAAGTGCATTAAAACAACCACACCCTATAAACATTCTCACTCATCCATTCCCCTCTATTATTTCTACTTTGAATAACTTCAAAATAAAATACGATACAAGATCAGATTTGTTTTAGTAAATAGGCTAACAAGATATAAAATGGAACGTAAAAGAGAGGAGAAAGGTGACCTATTGCTCATTTCACTGCTTAGGTTCTGACCACGTTTTATTGTGTCTTTATTCTTAGCCAACACAAGACCCTTCCTCTTCCAGCTGAGGTGCTGACCTTGCCTCTATCCCTGACATTAAGAGAAAATCTGAAAAACAGATTGAGAATCTGACTTCCAATCAAGAATCTCTCTCCAGGACCACAGCTGGGGATTTATGCCCATACTTATGGCTATAGGAAACTGGACAGAAATAAGTGAATTTATCCTCATGAGCTTCTCTTCCCTACCTACTGAAATACAGTCATTGCTCTTCCTGACATTTCTAACTATCTATTTGGTTACTCTGAAGGGAAACAGCCTCATCATTCTGGTTACCCTAGCTGACCCCATGCTACACAGCCCCATGTACTTCTTCCTCAGAAACTTATCTTTCCTGGAGATTGGCTTCAACCTAGTCATTGTGCCCAAAATGCTGGGGACCCTGCTTGCCCAGGACACAACCATCTCCTTCCTTGGCTGTGCCACTCAGATGTATTTCTTCTTCTTCTTTGGGGTAGCTGAATGCTTCCTCCTGGCTACCATGGCATATGACCGCTATGTGGCCATCTGCAGTCCCTTGCACTACCCAGTCATCATGAACCAAAGGACACGGGCCAAACTGGCTGCTGCTTCCTGGTTCCCAGGCTTTCCTGTAGCTACTGTGCAGACCACATGGCTCTTCAGTTTTCCATTCTGTGGCACCAACAAGGTGAACCACTTCTTCTGTGACAGCCCGCCTGTGCTGAAGCTGGTCTGTGCAGACACAGCACTGTTTGAGATCTACGCCATCGTCGGAACCATTCTGGTGGTCATGATCCCCTGCTTGCTGATCTTGTGTTCCTATACTCGCATTGCTGCTGCTATCCTCAAGATCCCATCAGCTAAAGGGAAGCATAAAGCCTTCTCTACGTGCTCCTCACACCTCCTTGTTGTCTCTCTTTTCTATATATCTTCTAGCCTCACCTACTTCTGGCCTAAATCAAATAATTCTCCTGAGAGCAAGAAGTTGTTATCATTATCCTACACTGTTGTGACTCCCATGTTGAACCCCATTATCTACAGCTTGAGAAATAGCGAGGTGAAGAATGCCCTCAGCAGGACCTTCCACAAGGTCCTAGCCCTCAGAAACTGTATCCCATAGACCTTAGGAAGTAAGGCTAAATTCTATTGAATGACAATTAGTTTCATGTTTGGGACACCTCTCTGCCTCTCTTCACATATCTGTTGGAATGAAACCCAGCTATTGAAATGGCTATTGGAAAGCTCTGTGGAGAGAAGAGAGCCCAGTGTTGGTGTAAACCTGTCATTATCATCTGCTAAATTTCTTTACCTGCCCATCGTAGACTTACTCTGTTTTTCTTATTGGTGCAATTGGCACTTTGAGACTTCTGTGGCCAAACCATTCGAGATATTTACTTTGCTAATGAGCACAAATGTGACATATATTGTGGACAATCTGAAACTACTTGTAATATGACTTTGGGGATACACAATGGGCAAGACAATGAGAAGTATCAAATGTCATCTTGGCCATCATCTTGGTTTGGAAAATTCTGACACCATTCAGTAGAAAACCCTATAATACTTCTAGTACATAATTCTTGCTCTTCATTTCATTTTACATGCCCCTAAGGAAGTGTTGGCTTTTATGTTTGTTGATATTTAGCATGGATAGAGAAAATAGGATCACTAATCCCCATACATATTCCTTTATAAGCCCAATAGCCTTAAAAGACTCCTTCCTTAGGCTATTCTTCCTAGGTAGAATAAGCTATTTCCAATTGTCTCTTGCAAATTCAGTTTCAGGTTCTTAATCCTTGTTAAAGTAATTTCAAAATTTCACAAACATAATTTCAATCATAATGCTGCTTTTTTCAAGGCTTACAGTGGATCTTAGCTGACTCCTAATATTTGCTTAGTGCCTTTAAATTTTAAGTTTTTATATATTGTTGATATGAAAATACAAAATATCATAAAGCACAATCATTGCCATCAGAAGTTAATAATTTAGTCAACAATGGGGGATTTGTAAAAGCAAATTCATTTTACAATTAAGCAAAGTAAGATTCAAGTTCTTCCTCCCCAGAAGCCAAGCAGATGCCAGTGCCATGCTTTAATAGCCATCAGAACCATGAGTCAATGAAATCCTTTTTCTTTATAAATTGCCCACTGTCAGGGATTTCTTTATAGCAACGCAAGAATGGCCTAACAGAAAATTGGTACTGGCAGTGGGGCATTGCTATAAAGATACCTGAAAATATGGAAGTAACTTTGGAACTGGGTAACGGGAAGAGGTTGGGAAGTTTGGGGGGGCTCAAAAAAGACAGAAAGATGAGGGAAAGTTTGGAACTTTAGAGACCACTTAAATGGTGGTGACCAAAATGCCAATAGTGATATGGATGGTGAAGGCCAGGCTGCTGAGGTCTCAGAAGGAAATGAGAAGCTTATTGGGAACTGGAGCAAAAGTCACACGTGTTATGCCTTGGCAAAGATCTTGGCTGCATTCTGTTCATGCCCTAGGGATCTGTGGAAGTTTGAACTGCAGAGTGATAATTTAGGGTACCTGGTGGAGGAAATATCTAAGCAGCAAAGTGTTCAAGATGTGATCAGGCTGCATCTAACAACCTATGGTAGGATATGGGAGCAAATAAATGATTTAAAGTTGGAATTTATATTTCAAGGAGAAGCAGAGCGTAAAAGTTTGGAAAATTTACAGCCTGGCCATGTGGTAGAAAATAAAAGCCCATTTTCAGGAGAAGAATCCAAGCAGGCTTTGGAGCAGCAATTTGCTAGAGAGATTTACATAACTAAAAATGAAGCCAAGTGCTAATAGCCAAGACAATGGGGAAAAAGTCTTGAAAGAATTTCAAATACCTCTGTGACAACAACTCTCATCATAGGCCCAGAGGTCTACGAGGGAAGAATGGTTTTTGGGTCCAGGACCAGGGCCTCATTGCCCTGTGCAGCCTCAGGATACTGCTCTCCACATCTAGGCTGCTCTGGTTCCAGCTGGGGCTCAAAGGGGCCAAGGTACACCTTGGGCCACCACTCCAGAAGGCACAGGCCAAAAGTGTTGGTGGCTTCCATTTGGTGTTAAGCTGGCAGGAACACAGTACAAGAGTGAAAGAGGCTTGGCAACCTCCACCTAGATTTCAGAAGCTGTACAAGAAAACCTGGGTACCCAGGCAGCATCCTGCTGCAGGGGTAGAACCCTCACAGAGAACCTCTACTAGGGAAGTGCTGAAGGAAAATGTGGGGTTGGAGGCCCCATACAGAGTCCTCACTGGGGAATTCCCTAATGGAGCTGTCGGAAGGGAGCCACCATCTACCAGACCCCAGAAGGATAGATCCACCAGCATCCTGCATCCCACACCTGGAAAAGCACAGAAACAGAACTGCCCAAAGCCTTGGGAGCCTGCCCCTCACACCAATGAACCCTGGATGTGGGACATGGCATCAAAAGAGATTATTTTGGAGCTTTAAGATTTAATGACTGCCCTCCTGGGTTTCAGACTTGCATGGGGCCTGTATCCTCTTCCTTTTGGCCCATTTCACCCCTTTGGAGTGGAAATATTTACCAATTGCCTGTACCACCATTGTATCTTGAAAATAAATACCTTGTTTTGATTTTACAGGTTCATGACTGGAAGGAAATCACCTCCAAATGAGACTCTGTACTTGAGACTTTGGACATGTGACTGAGGCTAAAATGAATTGAGACTTTTGGAGGACTATTGAGAAGGCATGATTGTATTTTGTGATGTGAGAAAAACATGAGATCTGAGGGGTCAGGGGAGGAATAATACAGTTGGACATCTATATTATTCCTCCCCTGACCCCTCAGATCTCATGTTTTTCTCACAATCTCATGTTGAAATCCCTCTAAATCTCATGCTGAATTATAATCCCCAGTGTTGGAGGTAGGGCCTAATAGGAGGTGTTTGGGTCACAGGGGTGGATTCCTTAGGGTTTTGTGCTATCCTCATGATAGTGAGTAAGTTTCATGAGATCTGGTTGTTTAAAAGTGTGTGATACCGCTCCACACATCTCTTGCGTCCGCTCCAGCCATGCAATATGCCTGCTCCTGCTTCACCTTTGACCATGAGTAAAAGCTCCCTGAGGCCTTTCCAGAAGCTGAGCAGATGCCAGCACCATGCTTGTACAGCCTGCAGAAACATCAGCCAATTAAACTCCTTTTCTTTGTAAATTACACAGTCTTATCTATTTCTTTATAGAAACCCAAGAATAGCCTAACATGTTGTCATTTCTCTCTTAACTTTGCTTTTGGTAATATTTTATTCCTCAGGCTTAGGTGTCATACTTGGGTCTACAAAAATAGTATTTTATTACTTCTATTAATGCTTCTTTACTTTCATTGTTTAATATTTAAATCTTTTTGCAATGTGGAATTTATCTGGTAGGAGGTATTTTTTTTTTCTCCAATAGCTGGCCTTATTGTCCTAACATAATTTATTTAAAAATATGTTATTTCTCCTACTAACTGGAAACATCAATATACTCTTACATATAGTTATAATATTCATAAGAATATGCTTAGGAATTCTAGATAACACTAAGAAACTTAAAATTTAATGGTTTTAAAGTTTTCAGAAAGTTAACAATACTGTACTTATTACCATGAAGAGAGAATAGAAAATTATCAACTTCACAGGAATCTTCAAAACATGTCAACACAATTGCAATTCATCCAACTGGGTTGCTCTAAATTTTATAAATAACTTAAAATGGTAAGGTATTTATTCTGACATTTGGCTTTGAGCAAGTTCTAGATGTACTGGGTAGTATTTAAATAAGTGGCCCTATACTTATAAAATTAAAAGTTGTGAAAATTGCCCTAGAGGGAAAAAAGGAATAACAACGCAAATCATAACAAAATAATATTTAAGCGTTCCTTAGATGATGATATGTAAGCTAATTTTTGCAACTAGGTTAAGAGGTAGGAAAATGGCATTCTAGACTGAAAAAGATCACAGAAGTCCCAGGCGAGGAAGAACTTGGTGCATTCTGAAAGTACAAGAACACCGATATTTGCTGAAATGTTGTAAACATGGGAAAGAAAGGTGAAAAATGGCTTGATAGGTAGACAGAGGTCAGGTCATAGAGGAATTCCTTTTGAGCATGTTAAAGATTTTGGAGTTTAAACTGCACGCAATAGTGCACTAGTCCATTTCCACACTGCTATAAGGAACTTCCTGAGACTGAGTAATTTACAGAGGAAAAAGGTTTAAATGACTCACAGTTCCACATGGCTGGAGAGGCCTCAGGAAACTTGCAATCATGGTGGAAGAGGAAGCAGGCATATCTTATATTGTGGCAGGGAAGAGAGAGAGAAAAGCCCAGGGGAAACTGCCATTTATTTATTTATTTATTTATTTTTATTTTTTTTAATATTCTTTTGAGTTTTTTTAAATTTTTTATTATTATACTTTAAGTTTTAGGGTACATGTGCATAATGTGCAGGTTAGTTACATATGTATACATGTGCCATGCTGGTGCGCTGCACCCACTAACTCGTCATCTAGCATTAGGTATATCTCCCAATGCTATCCCTCCCCCATCCCCCCACCCCACAACAGTCCCCAGAGTGTGATGTTCCCCTTCCTGTGTCCATGTGTTCTCATTGTTCAATTCCCACCTATGAGTGAGAATATGCGGTGTTTGGTTTTTTGTTCTTGCGATAGTTTACTGAGAATGATGATTTCCAATTTCATCCATGTCCCTACAAAGGACATGAACTCATCATTCTTTATGGCTGCATAGTGTTCCATGGTGTATATGTGCCACATTTTCTTAATCCAGTCTATCATTGTTGGACATTTGGGTTGGTTCCAAGTCTTTGCTATTGTGAATAATGCCGCAATAAACATACGTGTGCATGTGTCTTTATAGCAGCATGATTTATAGTCCTTTGGGTATATACCCAGTAATGGGATGTGAAACTGCCATTTATAAAACCATTACATCTCATGAGAACCCCCTCACTATCACAAGAATAGCATTGGGGAAACTGCCCCCATGATCCAGTCACCTCCCACCAGGTCTCTCCCTCAACACCTGGGGATTACAATTCAAGATGAGATTTGGGTGGGGACATGAAGTCTAATCATATCATTTCATCGAAGCCCCTCCCAAATCTTATGTCCTTACATTTCAAAACCAATCATGCCTTCCCAACAGCCCCCCAAAGTCTTAACTGATTTCAGCATTAACTCAAAAGTCCAAGTCCAAAGTCTCATTTGAGACAAGGTAAGTCCCTTCTGCCAATGAACCTGTAAAATCAAAAGCAAGTTATTTACCCACAATGGGATATAGGCATTGTATAAATGCTTCCATTCCAAATGGAAGAAATTGGCCAAAACAAATGGCTACAGGCCCCATGCAAGTCTGAAGTCCAGTGGTGGGGGCAGCCATTAAATCTTAAAGCTCCATTAAATCTTAAAGCAGGTGAGAGAGAGAGCATGTGTCAGTGTAGGAAAAACTACCATTTATAAAACCATCAGATCTCATGAGCATTCATTCACTACCACAAGAACAGCGTTGAGGAAACTGCCCCCATAATCCAATCACTTCCCACCAGGTCACAACCTTAAACACCTGGGGATGACAATTCAAGGTGAGATTTGGGTGAGGACACAAAGCCTAACCATATCAAATAGGTATCCATTGAAACATTTTGATTCAAGAGGGTGATTTTTAAAAATGATGGTAGCTGGCTGGGCGCAGTGGCTCACACCTGTAATCCCAGCACTTTGGGAGGCCGAGGTGGGCGGATAATGAGGTCAGGAGATTGAGACCATCTGGCTAACACAGTGAAACCCCATCTCTATTAAAAATACAAAAATTAGCCAGGCGTGGTGATGGGTGCCTGTAGTCCCAGCTACTTGGGAGGCTGAGGCAGGAGAATGGTGTGAACCCAGGATGTGGAGCTTGCAGTGAGCCGAGATCGCGCCACTGCACTCCAGCCTGGGCAACAGAGCAAGACTCTGTCTCAAAAAAAAAAAAAATGATGGTAGCTGCTGGGTAGAACATGTACTGTAAGTTGTAAGAGTAGAAAGAGGGAGACTGGTATAGTTGTGATTTATTTTTGGATAGTAACAATAAAGGTGAGAGTTCGGATTCAGAATGTATTTGAAATATGAGATTGACAAGACTTGGTAAGATATATTGCAGTGGTAATTGATGAAGAAGATGGTTTCAAGGACTATAACCATATTTCTGGCATAAGCAACAAAATAGATGGGAGTCCTCATTTTTAAGATGAGAAACGACGGAGAAAGAGCATATCTTGTGGTAGGGGCATGGCAGGGACAAAATGATAGGGAATTCAGTTTCCATTTTACCAGAAAGGTCAGTTTTATGTAGGTACATGAATGCCACTATGTTTAGTCTACCAAAGTAGATACTTGAAGACAAGGTATAACCACTGAAATAGATACTGAGAAAAAAAATTGAGTTTTACATAATAATACACTAATATAAAAGTAAAATTTGGTTTATTTGGTGCCAAAAATCATACAAGAAGCATAGCCAAACAGGAAATGGGGTTTGGCTTTCTTTGTGCTATATTTGTATAAATATGTTGTTGGTATGTGTTCCAAAATCATGTGAAACTCCTGTAAGTCTGATATATCTTAGTATTCATTATCAGTAATAATTATAATTATGCTAAATTATTGTGTGCCACAGAGGTAACAGATTTCCTTGTCAATTGTGTCCTTAACTATGGCTACCCTAAACCATTTTGTCATCCATAAACAATTGTTATCTTGTTTTGGTCCTTTTTAGAAGGTGGTTTTATAATCAGCTGTAAAGCTTTAACAGGTGCTCTTGAATGCAGGTTTCTGATAAATTTGGAGATTGTGACATCAGAATAGAGGTAAAAACGTTCAGGACTATTAAAGAGCTAAAATTTTCATTAATATCAAGCAGGACAGGATGAACTGCATAAATTGAACTAATAGGAGACTGAAGTGATCTTTTTGACTTTTTGCTTAAAATGTTGCTAATCCTTTATTTTGCTTTTCAGAGTCAAGGGAACTTTTCTTTTTAGCTATTAACAGCTTTTAACAATTACGTAAATTATACTCCTATGAGCAAAATTTGGAGCATTTTTGTTTCTCTCTATCTGATTTCTCCAGAATTTGAAAACTATTTGTGAGTATTCTTAATTTATGGCAATATAGATATTTGCATAAGTGCAATAAGAATCTGTTTTCTTTTGTTACAGGACACAATTGGAGAAACTGGTTATTTTACCAAGGCTTTGACTGGAATAGTATGCTCTCCTTTAAGGAATCAAACTTCACTTATGGAGCCAATAAAGCCCTTGGAACTGGCTTCATAATTTGTGTACACAGTCACTATACAGGGTTTCTGGTCTGTGGTAAGTAAAGAATGTCACTTTCTGACAGGCCAGGAACTCCAAGTTATCTTAGAACCTCAAGAGGAGAGGAATTCACCTAACTCATAGATATTTGATGGTACAAGTTCATAGCTGGGCTTGGCTTTAAAAAGGTCTTATCTCAGATTCCTTCTATGGAGCAAAGTTTCATCAAAGCCAATTTAAAAGGACTATGTGAAAAATAATTATTCTTGCTGCACTGTATACAAATAATTAGACCAAGTATAAGAAAACAAATCAGTCCTACCATGATTTGTCTTTCAGTAAAAATGAGAAACTGGAGAAAAATTATGTTTCAAAAACTATAGTATAGCTGTTGTTAAATTCTAGTCCTGCCTGATGTTTTTCAATTTTTATTATTTTGTACAGTTTGGATTAAATTCTAACTTTTCTGGCTACAAGTCTCCGAAATAATGTTTTCAGTTTTTTCCTCTTTCTTTTCCATTTTCCCCATTTTTCCTAATTGGAATTCAGTGAAACTAAGCTGTGCTTTCTTAAAGCCCTGTCAACTGAAGACTAGGCAGCTTAAACTTCAGAAGAAAACAGCAGCAACCTATTTATATATGTTACTGTTGCATACTATTATGTTTAAGCAGGCACTGCCTCCAAGCCCCCAAAACAGAGAGTGCTACTGGGAACAAATCGACTTCTTCCACTCCAGCACTGCATTCGGTGCCCCATAATGATGGCCCCCTCTCAGCAAGAAGTAGCCAGAAAGATTATGATGCCCCATCTCCCTGTGATTCTTGTGATAAGTAAATATACAAGCATGATAGGAATCATGTGCAAATTGACAGTGGGGATTGTGGCAGGCCAGCTCTCACTAACGCAGGCCTCCATAACAACTGTTTCAGCACTGACTGAGTGGTTAAATATGAAAAGCCAGTGCCCTTATACAAAGGCTGGAATGTAAAAAAAGAAAAAAAAAAAAAAAGCTCACCAAGAGTTTTGCCTAGGCCTTAAAGAATAAAAAAATAACGAAGGAATTCTTAACAGGACCCATTTGGGATTAAGCAAGTTTTATTGTGAGTCTGAAGAAACTCCGCAGGCCTCCACAAAGAAGTTTATTTATTTATTTATTTTATTTATTTATTTATTTATTTATTTCGATACGGAGTCTGGCTCTTTTGCCCAGACTGGAGTGCAGTGGCCCGATCTTGGCTCACTGCAAGCTCCGCCTCCTGGGTTCAAGTGATTCTCCTGCCTCAGCCTCCCCAGTAGCTGGGACTATGGGCATGTGCCACCATGCCCAGCTAATTTTTTGTATTTTTTTTTTATTAGAGACAGGGTTTCACTGTGTTAGTGAGGATGGTCTCAATCTGCTGACCTCACGATCTGCCCACCTCAGCCTCTCAAAGTGCTGGGATTACAGGTGTGAGTCACCACGCCTGGCCCACAAACAAGTTTATTAAGGGGTCTGAAGGAACTCCCAAACCTCTGGGATTTAGCAGGAGACAAGATAAGTGTAAGCACCCCAGCACCTGGACCCATTTAGATTAAGTAAATTTATTGAGGCTCCAGAAGAAGGTCTTCAGGACTCAGGCCTTAGTTATGGATTAAAAGAAGTTAATCATTAATGTCTTTAGATGAATGCACACTTACATGTAGACATATAGCTTAGAAGGTATATAAGCTCTGGAAAACTTTGTAATTTTGAGTTGGTTGGGCAATAATTTCCAGACCTTCCCCTTGTAACCGACTTCAGAAATAAAAACTCTCTTACTCCCCAGTTCATCTGCATCTTGTTACTGGGCCACGAGAAATAGCAGCCCGACCTTCAGTTTGGCCTGGGAACAGGAGGATTAGTTTGATGAGGTAAGTAAGCATCAGATCTTGAAAGTCCTCTATGCTGAAGTGTTTGAATGCTATCTTGTGAACTATGTAAATCAATTTAAGCGTTTTCAGCATGAAAAAACAATCAGATATGTATTTTGGAAAAATTACTTTGGCAGTTGTATGGCAAATGGGCCATAAGGGGACACAGGCTATAAGACAGAGACCAGAGACTTCTGTAAATGAGCAGTTAAGAGATATGAGACCAAAACTCAGTGCAAGGAAACCCTCTTCTTAATCTTCAGAAATTGAAGTCCCTATCAAAATAGGACAGCAGAGCAGACATGCTACCAGCTCAGAGGAAAATCACTGCTGTTCTGGACCACATCTACTCCCGTCTACCTGCAGGCCAGCAGGACTTGAGCTGCAAAGGTGGCTGCTTGCCAAGATGAGTTTATTTGAAGCTATGGCTCTGCAGCCTGAGTCATTAGTCCTCCCTCCCATATCTGATCCTTTCTATTCACTTAAGCTTTCCTTCCAGGCCCCAAGATAGACCACTGGGAACCTCAGTAGACTGTGCTCCCTGAACAACAGAGTGCCTCATTAGCTACTTTTTAATGAGGTCACAGCCTGTGACTGCTCATTAACAGACTGGCTAGTCAGCATCCCCAGGGGTAGGGGAGACTGAAGACAGAAGTCAGTGATTACAGAGCCTAAGTGTAGCTGTGTTAGAGGGAGAAGGAACTTAGCAGAGACTCTGAGGCTTTTACTCTGAGGTCTCCAGGGTCACTTCCAGCTCTCAGAGACTATGATTCTGGAGAACATATTGAGGGACCAGGGCCTTTTTGGGAGGAAGTGACAACAGAGTCAAGTGATCCCAGGCTTGTAACAGCTGTTGGTCTAGAGAGATTGTTTAGGAAGTCAAATGCTCTTCAAGTTCTCTTGGATGCTTACGGAAACGGAATATTGCTTTTGCAACCTTTTGTCATCTTGCCTTCCATAACCATGGATTTTCTTGCTATTCCCTGTACATGATTAAGTGCAGATTGTTTGGATTATTTTCCAAGTATTTTTAAACTGATCCTGGGAGTTAATTTATTGGCCCTCTTCTATACTCCCTGTTTACTGTCTCCTAGACATCCCGTTCATTCACAGGATTCCAACCTATCACTCCTCTGGAGATGAAACTTGGGCATCGACTTATATCTCCCACTAGGATTAGTGCTACAGCCTCCTAATTGTATTCCCTGCCTCCAGTCATGCTGCAGATTTACACATATACCTCATTCCCATTCAGCCCTTAGTCTCCCCAGAGTTCTTTCTAAACACACGTGGCAATCTGTCTTAATCATGTTTAAATTCCTTATGAATCACCCTCATAATCAGAATGAAACCATCGTACTTAGCATGTCATACAAACCTTATATTCCAGTTCTAGTTTCTCTTTCAAATTTCAGTTCTTACCATACTCCCATCCATACATTTGAATGGGGTATGATGAAAATAGTGCATCATACTGAACTATTTTCTTTTCCCTTATACCATGCATTTTTAATTTCTCTAAATGTGCTTTTTTGTTTCTCTCAAAAATTTGGAGTCTAAAAAGCCTTAGTTCAAATTGTGTGTCTGCTACTTACCAGATATGAAAATCACTCTGTTTCTCTCCTATTTCCTCTTCTGTGAATTGAGTGATAATATCTTGTGGATTTAATGCAAAGATGAAATGAGAATAATGAAACCTACTGTGAAGATATTAAGAGGCCAGCCATTCTGTGACAGCAGAGGTAACAGGTGGGCTAATCAAATGATATTAGCCAACAACTAACACCTGTGGAACTTTATGACTTTTATCTATTCTTTGTTATTTTTTACATTTAAAGTAATATATCAGTTATGTAAAATTCCCAATAGGTATTTGCTATTATTCATAACACGAGTAAATTATTAGGTTCCCTCCTTTTCCCAGTGAACAGAGTAAAGAGAGGAAGTAATATGTTAAATATGAGCTACATGTTTGTCAATAAAGTGTTATTTACTCCTCACAGGTATTAACAAGAAGTATATAATATGGCCAAGTAACAAGTAATGGGTGTCAAAGTTTGGGTTTGAATCTAAGTCTATCTGATTCCAAAATATCATGTTTAAGATAACATATTTAATCTCTAAAATATAAAGAAAGAATCTAAGAGTCTAGAAAGATATTTGGAAGTAAAGGAATGTAATATGGACAGCCAAGAGGCTTCAGGAGGGTTATAAGAGAGAGGAAAAAAACCTTTGAGGCCAATAGACATAAATGGATGACATATCACCATATTGTAACCTATTTCTTTGGGGTAATTGAAAGAAATGAATAGTTATTTTTTATTCTCTAATGCAAGCTCTTTATTCTCTAAATCAAGCTACTTGGAAAAGAGTACGTCTTCAACAGAAGGTAGACATTATTATTAAATCTTTATATCTTTACTCAATTCCTCTGCCTGCTATTCTTGCCTATCACCCCATACTCACCATACCAAGTTAATCCCTACATATTATTTAAGATTCAACTCTAGTGTTTTCTCTCCTATGAATCTCTCCCTGATTCCTCTAGGCAAGTCTGAGTTTGCTCTCCTTTGTACACATGTGATATCTTGTATATATAATTGTTAAGCATTGAAGACATTGAAATTGTCTCTTCATAAGCATAGAGGATACAGTAAGAGCAGTTCATCATTCTTGTTTGTATTTCTGACACCTAGTCCAGTGCCTGGCATATAGTAAGTACTCAGTAAATGACTGAAGAAATGCATAGTCCCCAAGTTGTTTCTCTAGCCTTGGCCTGTTCCATTCTCACTGAAAAGTGAAAATTGTCTCTGAGACATTTCTGCCTAGGTGTCAAGGCACATGTCAGACAACAACAAGCTCTCAGACAAAATTTTCTCCCATTCTCTAAATCATGAAAGAAAAATGTCTTATTACATATTTATTGCTTTTACCCCACTTTTCATTGACATATTCTTTCATTTAATCAGTGAATATTCATACTGAATCCTGAAGGTACAACAATGAACAAGGTGCATCCCTCTAAGAGCTCCTGGCTCCTTAAGTGAGAAAACGTAAATACACAGATACAGACAAAAAGACAGTGCCATGGAAAAGGCTTTACTGTATTATAATTTTGCATTGATAAGTGCTATCAAAGAAGTGTTCGATCAGTCTCCTAATCCTATTAATTCCTCCTTGGCAACATCTTCTTACTCAAACCTTGGTTAAATACCCATTTTCACTGCCACTGTCATGAGTCTAGCCAGTGGATCTTCTCAGAGAAACTTCTGCCTGGGCATCCAGGCATTTCCATACATCTTCTGAAATCTAGGCAGAGGTTCCCAAACCTCAATTCTTGGTTTCTGTGCGCTCGCAGGCTCAACACCACGTGGAAGCTGCCAAGGCTTAGAGCCTGCACCCTCTGAAACCACGACCCAAGCTCTAGGTTGGCCCCTTTCAGCCATGGCTGGAGTGGCTAGGATGCAGGGCACCAAGTTCCTAGGCTGCACACAGCATGGGGACCCTGGATCCAGCCCATGAAAACATTTTCTTCTAGGCCTGTGATGGGAGGGGTTGCCATGAAGCCCTCTTACATGCCCTGGAGACATTTTCCCCATTGTCTTCTGGATTAACATTCGGCTCCTCGTTACTTATGCAAATTTCTGCAGCCAGCTTGAATTTCTCCTCAGAAAATGGGTTTTTCTTTTCTATCACATTGTCAGGCTGCAAATTTTCTGAACTTTGCAGTTCCAATTTTCTAAACTTTGCAAGGATGCTCTGCTTCCCTTATAAAACTGAATGCTTTTAACAGCACCCAAGTCACATCTTGAATGCTTTGCTGCTTGGAAATTTCTTCCGCCAGATACCCTAAATCATCTCTCTCAAGTTCAAAGTTCCACAAATCTCTAGGCCAGGGGCAAAATGCCACCAGTCTCTTTGCTAAAACATAACAAGAGTCACTTTTGCTCCAGTTCCCAACAAGTTCCTCATCTCCATCTGAGACCACCTCAGCCTGGACTTTATTGTTCATATCACTATCAGCATTTTTGTCAAGGTCATTCAACAAGTCTCTAGGAAGTTCCAAAGTTTCCCACATTTTCCTGCCTTCTTCCGATCCCTCCAAACTGTTTCAACCTCTGCCTGTTACCCAGTTCGAAGTCACTTCCATATTTTCAGGTATTTTTCAGCAATGCTGAGCTATACTGGTGCAAATTTACTGTATTAGTTCATGTTCACACCGCTGATAAAGACATTCCTGAGACTGGGCAATATACAAAAGAAAGAGGTTTAATTGGACTTACAATTCCACATGGCTGGAGAAGCCTCACAATCAGGCAGAAGGCAAGGAAGAGCAAGTCACGTCTTACGTGGATAGCAGCAGGCAAAGAGAGAGAGCTTGTGCAGGGGAATTCCTCTTTTTAAAACCATCGGATCTCATGAGAGTAATTCGCTATCACAAGAACAGCATGGGAAAGAACTTGCCCCCATGATTCAATTACCTCCTACTGGGTTCCTCCCACAACATGTGGGAATTCAAGATGAGATTTGGGCAGGACACAGCCAAACCATATCAGTTACTCTTTTCTCCCCTTTTCATACTGTACTCTTTGTAAAGAGGTCACCATGATAAGCCCACACTCAAAAGGTAGGGAGTAATGTTCCACCTCCTTATGGGCAAAGTAACTACATAAATTATGTTGAATTCTTCCAGACAGACTTGTTGACTCTTCCTCATTTATTTCTTTACTTAATCATTTATTTACATCATATATACTCATAAACATTTATTTTATATGTTGGCTTATAAACCAATACTACCTTATTTGTTGCTCAAATATTCCGGCTTTGGCTACTGGGAGCTCTTCATTTGGTTTCTGTGTTCCTTTGACAAACCCAATAATGTGGGGTTTTTTTTTTTTCATCACTTTCTTACTTTCTGCATTACAAGAGTCTCCAGGATCATCTTGCATATTTCCTAACTCAGTCCTAGAATCAGCCATTTCTCCAGGGAACATGAGTTCCTTCTAATGGAAGACTGTATTAGAAAGAAATATTTGGGTGTTAGGTGTCCATATTAAGTTTTTACATAAATATTAATGCATATCCCCAGTTACATTGTATTCCATTGTAATCTACGGAAAATCTGCAAGTTTTGAATCAGTCTCCTATTAATGAAATCAAGATTTTTTTTTTACATTATTTTGCAAGTAAAATGTGCTGCATTAGCAAAAGTATGAACAGAGTAAACAGACATCCTATAGAATGGAAGAAAATATTTGGAAATTAGGCATCTGATAAAGGTCTAATATCCGGCATCTATAAGGAATGTAAACAAATTTATGAGTAAAAACCAAAGAACTCCATTAAAAAGTGGGCAAAGAATATGAACAGACACTTTTCAAGAGAAGACATATATGCAGCCCAAAAGCACATGAGAAAAAAGCTCAATATCATTAGAGAAATGCAAATCAAAACCACAATGAGATATCATCTTACACCAGTCAGAATGGCCATTATTAAAAAGTCAAAAATTAACAGATGCTGGCAAGGTTATGGAGAAAAGGGCATGCTTATACGCTGTTAACAGGAGCGTAAATCAGTTCAACTATTGTGGAAAGCAGAGTGACAATTCCTCAAAGAGCTAAAAACAGAACTACCATTTGACCTAGTAATCCCATTACTGGTTATATACCCAAAGGAGTACAAATCAGTCTACCACAAAGACACATGCATAAGTATGTTCATTACAACACTATTCACAATAGTAAAGACATTGCATCAACTTAAATGCCCATCACTGGCAGATTGGATAAAGAAAATGTGTTACATATATACCATGGAATATTATGCAGTCATAAAAAAAGAACAAGATCATGTCCTTTGCAAGAAAATGGATGGAGCTGGAGACCATTATCCTTAGAAAACTAATGCAGGAACAGAAAACCATATACCATATATTCTCATTTACAAGTGGGACCCAAATGATGAGAACATATGGATACAAAGACAGGAACAACAGACACACTGGGGCCTACTTGAGAGTGGAAGGTGGAAGGAGGGAGAGAATCAGGAAAAAATAACTAATGAATACTAAGCTTAGTACTTGGGTGACAAAATAATCTGTACGGAAACCTCCCATGACATATACCCTTGAATTTAAAAGTTTTTTAAACAATGGTGCTACATTTAAAAAATAATATCGGCCGGGCGCGGTGGCTCACGCTTGTAATCTCAGCACTTTAGGAAGCTGAGGCAGGCGGATCACAAGGTCAGGAGATCGAGACCATCCTGGCCAACATGGTGAAACCCCATCTCTACTAAAAATACAAAAATAAGCTGGGTGTGGTGGTGTGTGCCTGTAATCCCAGCTACTTGAGAGGCTGAGGCAGGGGAATCGCTTGAACCAGGGAGTTGGAGGTTGCAGTAAGTGGAGATCATGCCACTGCACTCCAGCCTGGTGACAAAGTGAGACTCCGTCTCAAAAAAAAAAAAAAAGAGAGATAATTTTTCCTTTCTCCAAAATGACTAGCTTTTAAAAGCATGGATCAATTTAATATCATTTTATCTCTATCTTGTATTGTTCACTAGCTATTTCAAAATTAGGTAGCCTCAATTCATCTGAACACCCAAGAGACTGGGGATGATGTCTCCTACATTTTCCTTAACAATGACCAGAATAGGACCAAATAACAACAGCAAAAATTCTTACGCCAAAGTCTACATGTCTGCGTCCCACTTTCCGTGCAGTTTCCTATTTCTTCCTTCTGGATTCAATAACAGCTATATTAGTCATATGTTCTTAGTTGTTATCTTATAATTTATCTAATTGTAGTTCACATTTCCCCATTAAAAGGTAAGCTTTATGAATACAGGAACCAAACCTGTTTTTGTTTTACTTCCATAACCTAATGCTTAGGAGAGTATTTGACATTTAGTAGATACTTAATGAACAATTATTCAGCGTGCAATAGGTTTAACTAATATAAGCCATTTAATTTCATCATAACACTAACTCTGTAAAATAAGAACATTTGTTGTCTTTAAGAAATGTGGAAATCAAAGCTCAGCGAGTTTAACAAAATTGCTAAGCATTATGAGCCAGAGTTCCAGTGCTGAGATTAAATTTAGGTTGCTCTGACTTCAAATTCTTATAGTGCTTCTCTACACAATGCTGCTTCCCCTAGCCTGGAGTTTGGTTTTTCTTTCTTGAATTTTATCCTGTTGGCATCTGAAATTCATTATATTCTCAAAGGATGGTAGATTCAAACAAGACCAGGTCCCCTGAGGAAAGGAAGGAAAAGCCTATAAACAGCTGGGAAAAAATACAGGTCTCATCCCTTCGACTAGCCCCAAGAACAAAAGAGGCACAGGTGGGAACAACTCTCCCAAAACCAGGACTGGGAGCATGGCCAAACTTCATAGTGAGCTTACTTGCCTCTGACACACAAGGCAGCAGTGAGCTGGCTACAGCTCCAGCCATTAATAGCTCAGCCAGGACAGGGAATAAGACTTCCCTGGTTCTTCTTTTGGCTTTGCTGAAACAGAAATAGAGCTGTTATATTACATGCATGAAGGACATGCATGAAGCATGGATGTCAGCCAGAGTTGAACAAGGCAGATGTTCCTGTTGGACACAGGTAAGCCTTTTTTTTTTTTTTTTTTTTTTTTTTCCACCAAGGACTGAATCTACCAGAGGCCACTCTCCAAGTTCAGTTACTCAGCTGCACAAAATATGATCAGAGTTTGGATACCTAATTCTATTCTTATGTTCACACTGGGAGATCTCATCAGTTCCTCTCTCCTTGGGCATCAGTTTACTCTATGTCATAAGAAAAGTGAGATCTGGGCTCACAAAAAGACTGATATTACCCAGGCTTTTTCCAATTCTGTCCTCTAAAGTTTTCTGAGTCAGGAAGCTTCCAGGCCCTACAACCTTCACAGGACATATACCCCCTTCAGGTCTTGATTTTCGTCTAAGTAACACAAAAAAGACTTGCCTCAGTGGAACATTTATGAGATGGAGAACATCAGGGCAAACTACTACTTTACAACAATTCTACAGTCAGAGAAGGCCTAGAAGAGTGGGTTCCAGGTCCTGGGACAGTCAGGTGATTAGCAAAGGGATGTTCCTAGGGAAGTTCTAGAGCAAGTTTGTCCAACCTGTGGCCCATGGGCCACATGCGGCCCAAGATGGCTTTGAATGTGGCCCAACATAAATTCATAAACTTTGTTAAAACATTATAAGATTTTTTTCCTTTCTTTTTTGCTTATAAGCTATCATTAGTGTTAGTGCATTTTACGCGTGACCAAGAAATTTTTCTACTTCCAATGTGGCCAGGGAAGCCAAAAGATTGGACACCCCTGTTCTAGAGGAACTGGCAAGAACGCTGTGGGCTGGCCATGAGCTGCCACCTTCTGCAATGCCTCTCCCACACTGGAGACGGGGCACTAGCTTTTCTTCCCCAGTAGTTTTCAGAAGTTCTGTGGAAATCCCAGCAAGTGTTTCTGCCCCTCCTTCTCCCCAGTCTTCTCCGCCAGCACCACATACAACACATCTGTCATGAGGCTTCTAGTTAAAGTGCGGTTCTAACAAAAAAAAAAGAACAGTCATTGAGAAAAAAAAATTCTAATAGTGAATAAAAACTCCAAGAAGAATGAACTTTGTAGAACTCATGTAATCCTTTATACAATCAGCTGTCCAAAAACATGTATGAATAGCTTACTTGGTAAAAACACTGGGCTTCTTCTTATAAAGATGACTAAGACAGTTTATACTATGGAGAAGTTTAAAGAGTGACATATATATTGGTAGTAGAAATATCTGAATAATTAAAAACATTTTTAAAGGATAGAGGAAAATAGAGAAGATGACTAATCCTATCTGGAAGTATCACATGACAGACAGAGCTGAGTTTTGAGGATTTGAAGGAGTCAGCCAGACAGAGGAGGGGATGTGCAGGCAGAAATGATGTCACATGAAAAGGCAGAGGCAAGCAAAAAGAACTCTGTTCAGTAAATAGTAAGAAGCTCAGCAGTGAAGCAGAAGAAGGAGAGATGGATGTGGGAGACCAAAGATGACATTTCGGGTGTAGCTTAAGTTCATTTCATATGGCTTGTTGAAAACCCCAATTTTTTAATTATAAATTTTTCTGTTTTAAGTTCAGGCTCTGCCATTTATTTTCCATATAATTACAAAATTTCTTATATATATAAATATATATTTATACTCATAAATATGTATTCTCATATATAAATATATATATTGTAAGATGAACATATATGTATATATAAATATATATTAAATATATATTTATATATAAATGAACATTTATGTTCATCTTAAAATGAATATATATTTCTATATATGATAATATATATGAATAAAAATATATATTTATATATTTTCATATAATTACAAAATTTCTTATATATAAATATATATTTATATATACTTATCTAGATATATATTTATATATTTAGAAAATTTGGAAATCCAGAAAAATAAAAATAATAAATCCCCTCCTTTTACCACTTGAAATAGGTCACTTTTACATTTTGCATATAGCCTTTCAGTCTTTTTATATAGCATATATTTTTAAAATTGTAAATGTATCACAAGTGTGCAGGCTGTGTTATTTTTCATTTAATATTATATGGTGATTATTATATGACAGCATTAAATGTTCTTCAAAAATGACTTTAAAGATTACAGGGTATTTCCTTAAATACATGCTTCATAATTGAGCCATTCATTCTGTTAATTATAATTTTCAATTTATAACTATAATAGTCAGCACTGAACAAACAATTGGCTATGCTTACTAAATATTCACACTGATTCAATAATTCTGACCCACAAATATACAAAGATTTCATTGAAATATGACTGGGAAATTTCTATTTTTCAGAGACAATTTTTAAATAAATTAAGAAGATAATTGTCTTTTATTATTTTAAAAAATGTGTTCAAAGCTTATTGCAACTCTATATTTAGCAGATTTAAAAAAATCATTAGCAATTCTTTTTATCAGTTTTTTATGTGAGTAAATATGGAGTTTTACAGGAGACATAATCATTTCTGTCAACAAAATCATGTAATGATGAAAGTATTTGCAAACATCCAAATGACCCTCCATAGCAGAGGATTCCATTGCTAGGAAAATCTCCCACCTTGGTCTTTTATATCCAGACCTGCTTCCCTCTTGTCCCCACCCTCTCGTTAGTCACTGGCAATCACTAATCTCTTTTCCATTCCTATAATTTTGTCATTACAGAAATGTTATGTAAGTGGAATAATAAAATATGTGTCTGTTTTATTCACTCAGAATTATCTGTAAATTCATTCATGTTATTGCATGTATCAATAGTTCATCCTCTCTATTGCTGAGTTTACTAAGGTATAAATGCATCATAATTTGTTTCATCATCTGGGTTTTTAACAATTTGAGGCTATTATGAATACAGCACTGAGGAATATTCATGTTTTTATATGAACATAGTCTTCATTTCTCAGGGATAAATACCCAAAGGTACAATTACTGGTTGTACCACAGTTACATGCTTAGTTTTTTTAAAGAACTGTCAAACTGTTTTCTGCAGTGGCTATACCAAGCTTGTCCAACCCTGCGGGCTGCATGCAGACCAGGACGGCTTTGCATGTGGCCCAACACAAATTTGTAAACTTTCTTAAACCTTTATGAGATTTCTTTTTTTTTAATTTTAGCTTATCAGCCAATTCTTCTTCCCATGTGGCCCAGGGAAGCCAAAAGATTGAACATCTCTGATACTATTTACATTTTCATGAGCAATGTATGAATGATCCAATTCATCAAATCCTCACCAGCATTTGGTGTTGTCACTTTTTTTTTAACCCATTCTTATATGTGTGTAGTGATATATCATTGGGGTCTTTATAAGCATATATGCATTTCCCTAATGGTGAATACTTTATTTTTTTGTTTGGTTGTGGTTTATAGGGGGTATTTTTGTTTTGTTTTATTTTGTTTTAATCATTTTCCAGTTTGGTTACTTATCAGAACTTTTCTCTATTTTCAGAATTAAAAAAAAATCTTTCAGTAAAATAAAAACATGTTTGTGTGAATATATTAAAATTTTCTTTCATACTTAGGGATTCTTTTGGTTCAAAAAGTCATCTCTTCCATTAGATCAGAGACATTTATTCTTCCTCTGGTACTTCTTTGGATATTATTTCTACCCCTCTCCATTCTTTCTGTCATTCTGGAATACCTGTTATAGTGATTTTATTTCTTGTATTTTACTTCATTATTCCTCTTATAATTGTTATGTTTTCATAATTTTTCCCAGTAACTTGGGTGTAATTTTTCAAATTTGTATTCTAATTGACTCAGTTTTCTTAAGTTTCTGGCATTTTGCTCCACAAGGTTTAACTTCAATAATCATGGCTTTGTTTTGTCCCCCAGGTGGTCTTTTCTGGCCCCACACTGTCATTTTCATGAGTACTTATTCAATATTCTATATTATTATTATTATTATTAAGACAGAGTCTCCTTCTGTCACCCAGGCTAGAATGCAGCGGTGCAGTCTTGGCTCACTGCAACCTCTGCCTCCCCAGTTCATGCAATTCTCGTGCCTCAGCCTCCCAAGTAGCTGAGATTACAGCCATGTGCCACCACGGCCAGCTAATTTTTGTATTTTTAGTAGAGAGGGTGTTTCAGCATGTTGGCCAGGCTGTTTTCAAACTCCTGGCCTCAAGTGATCCTCCTGCCTTGGCCTCCCAAAGTGCTGGGATTACAGGCATGAGCCACCGTGCCTGGCCTCGATATTCAATATTTTATAGGGCTTTGTTGAGAGTAAGTAATAAAGACAATTTAATGTCTTTCAACTTCCTTTCAGACTCTTGTTTTTGAAAAGGGAAACAATTGATTTGATATCTTGAATTTCATCTCATTAACCTAAAGTGTTTTGTCTTCATATCTCCCATAACCTTTTCTGTTTACTTATGGGCTGGCTTGCCTTGGAATGACAGTAAGAGAGTTTCTATTTTTTACTTTACTTTTTTTTTCTTTTTTGTTGAGACTGAGTCTCACTCTGTCACCCAGGCTGGAGTGCAGTGGCACAATCACAGCTCAATGTAGCCTCAACCTCCCGAGCTCTGGTGATCCTCCCACCTCAGCCTCCTGAGTAGCTAGGACAACAGGCATATGCCACCACAACTGGATATTTTCTCCATTTTTTGTAGAGATGGGGTTTCGCCACCTTGCTGAGGCTGGTCTCAAACTCCTAGGCTCAAGTGATCCACCTGCCTCAGGCTCCCAAAGTCCTGGGATTACAGGCATCAGCCACCACGCCTGGCCTACAGTGAAAGAGTTTCTAGTTGAGATGATCTGTCTTTTCATCATTGGTTCTTTTATTATTTTTTAAACTTACATTTGTTTTTCTGAAACCGAGCTAAAAACTGTAGACATTGCTTCATTTAATGTTTAGCATTTCTGAGAAATCTTAGATCAGTTTGATTATAATTCTTTTATAAGAATGGTGTTTTTTCCTTCATAGATTCTCTGGAATTTTAAACATAACCTTGAAGTTCAAATTATTCACCAAGACCTGACTAATATTTAGCCTCTTTTAAATAAGTTGTCTGCTGCTTGAAAATGGATTGTGCGTAAAGACGGAGGGTAATTATAGATATACCACCTAGTCTTCTTGATCCGAGGCCTACAGCTTTTGATCCCTTCTCTATCCCATTCTATCAACAATGTCAGAGTGATCCTTCTAAGTAGCATTATGACAATGTCACTCTGCAGCTTCAAATATTCAGGTGAATCTCCTCATCTATAAAATAAAGTCCAAAATTCTCAGCATGTAATATAAGTCTATTAATGTAATATATCCAAAACACTGACCATATCTTTGTTTATCTTTTACTTTGTGTCAGTTCTGGTTTTTACTGTTCCTAATAAAGTTTTTAATTTTTATTATTAATTTTTTTTAACCAGAGTTTGCTAACCACATTCATTTCTTTTTTTATTTATCCCAGCCTCTCAATTTCATTTTCCAGCTTAATATCACCATTTCTCCACTAGACTTCAATATTCTAGATTACGAATACAATAAGAAGAGCCTCTAGATAACCAACTGCAAATTAGAAACCAGTAATACAAAATTGGGATTCAGTTGTGTCTAGGAAATCTCCTAAACATCTTAATGCTAATGATGTTGGTTCTCGTGCTTATCTTTGTCTGTCTTCACTGTGATTTTGCAGAAATGCCAATTCTAATTCTCCTACAAATTAATAAGTTAGTCATCAGATAAGGCATGACAGTCCAACAAAGCATGATTTAGTAAAAATCTGAAGGGTTTTGTAATCCAATAGATGTGGTTTGGATTCAAGATCTTCCATGTGATTTGTGTTTCTTAAATTATCTGGGATCAGTTTCCTCATGTATAAACCAGAGATATAAAAGAACAAAAACATGCATATGTAAATGGTCCTCAATACATGCTAACCTTTCACCCTCCTCTCAAATTCTAGCCAGTCAAGAAAGGTTCATGAAGAGTAGAAAACATATTATATGCATTCTTCATGATAGTTATAAATATATTTCTAAAGTTTTGATAAATTTAAATGTATGTGTTCTTTTACGAGATTATAAACACTTGGTGTGTTTCATAAGTTTAAGTGTTTTCAGAAACATCACTTTCTCCCAAAATGTATCCTTTGATGGACCCTTCAGAAACTTGTGATTCTGACTTTGCATGCCCTTTCTGAATAACTTAAGGTGTGAACAGAAATATCAGCTCCTCTAGAAGCTGATTCAGGCCCATCTCAGAGATTAGGCTCTGGCTACTATTTATTGTGTTTTATTCTTAGACAACCCAAGGCACTTCCTCTGCCTGAGGTGCTGACCTTGCCTCTTTCCCTGACAGTAAGAACGAGTCTGAAAAACAAATTGAGAATCTGACTTCCAATCAATAATCTTTCTCCATGACCACAGTTGGGGACTTCTGCCCACACTTATAGCTACAGGAAACTGGACAAGAATAAGTGAGTTTATCCTCATGAGCTTCTCTTCCCTGCCTACTGAAATACAGTCATTACTCTTTCTGACATTTCTAACCATCTACCTGGTCACCCTGATGGGAAACTGCCTCATCATTCTGGTTACCCTAGCTGACC
Source organism: Homo sapiens (assembly GCF_000001405.40). Taxonomy (NCBI): domain Eukaryota; kingdom Metazoa; phylum Chordata; class Mammalia; order Primates; family Hominidae; genus Homo; species Homo sapiens. The sequence goes on from NC_000011.10 coordinate 6,869,873, forward strand.
CCATGCTACACAGCCCCATGTACTTCTTCCTCAGAAACTTATCTTTCCTGGAGATTGGCTTCAACCTAGTCATTGTGCCCAAAATGCTGGGGACCCTGCTTGCCCAGGACACAACCATCTCCTTCCTTGGCTGTGCCACTCAGATGTATTTCTTCTTCTTCTTTGGAGTGGCTGAATGCTTCCTCCTGGCTACCATGGCATATGACCGCTATGTGGCCATCTGCAGTCCCTTGCACTACCCAGTCATCATGAACCAAAGGACTCGTGCCAAACTGGCTGCTGCCTCCTGGTTCCCAGGCTTTCCTGTAGCTACTGTGCAGACCACATGGCTCTTCAGTTTTCCATTCTGTGGCACCAACAAGGTGAACCACTTCTTCTGTGACAGCCCACCTGTGCTGAGGCTGGTCTGTGCAGACACAGCACTCTTTGAGATCTACGCCATCGTCGGAACCATTCTGGTGGTCATGATCCCCTGCTTGCTGATCTTGTGTTCCTATACTCACATTGCTGCTGCCATCCTCAAGATCCCATCAGCTAAAGGGAAGAATAAAGCCTTTTCTACATGTTCCTCACACCTCCTTGTTGTCTCTCTTTTCTATATATCATTAAGCCTCACCTACTTCCGGCCTAAATCAAATAATTCACCTGAGGGCAAGAAGCTGCTATCATTGTCCTACACTGTTATGACTCCCATGTTGAACCCCATTATCTACAGCCTGAGAAATAACGAGGTGAAGAATGCCCTCAGCAGGACGGTCTCTAAGGCCCTAGCCCTCAGAAACTGTATCCCATAGACCTTAGGAAGTAAGGCTACATTTTACTGGATGAGAAACAATCAGTCCCAGATTTGAGATTCCTCTCTGCATCTTTCCACATCTCCAATAAGATGAAGTCCTGTTGCTGAAATGGCTTTTGGAAAGCTGAGTGGAGAGAAAGGAGCAGAGAAGTAGTTTCGACCTAGCACCACCAACTATGAAAACTCCTCTGCCTGCCCATTGTAGACTTACATTGTTTTCCTTGTTTCAACTGGTATGACAGCACTTCTGTGGCCAACTATTTCCAGGTGTTATATTTCTTTTTTTTTTTTTTTTTGAGACGGAGTCTCGCTCTGTCCCCCAGGCTGGAGTGCAGTGGCGCATCTCTGCTCACTGCAAGCTCCGCCTCCTGGGTTCACGCTGTTCTCCTGCCTCAGCCTCCCAAGTAGCTGGGACTACAGGTGCCCGCCACCATGCCCGGCTAATTTTTTGTATTTTTTTAGTAGAGACAGGGTTTCACCGTGTTAGCCAGGATGGTCTCGATCTCCTGACCTCGTGATCCACCCGCCTCGGCCTCCCAAAGTGCTGGGATTACAGGCGTGAGCCACCGCGCCTGGCCGGTGTTTATATTTCTGTGTGACGTGCATTGTGCACAATATGAAACTGCTAGTCATTATAACATGGGGGCACACATAGTAACAGAGGGTAAAACCCAATAAAAATCATCTTGTCACTTTTCCTCTTCTGGGCAGATCTGACTCTACATTCATGACAGAAAATCTCATGATCTTTCCCAACACATAACTCTCCTCACCATCTTACTTCATTCTCATGCCCTTAAGCAGTGTTAGTTCTTTTAAGCTTACTGGTATGCAGTATGCATGTATGAGAGTAGATCAAAAGTTCACATGCATATGCCTTTATAACCCCAATAATTATTTCCTTCACACTAGATTCTTCCCAAGAAAAACAACCTGAGCTTCCCTAAGATCTCTATTCCATATTCAGGTTCTTATGTTTTGTTGAAGTAATATCGTAAATTTCAGTCATAGCTTTGCTTTGATGAGAACAAAGCTCCAGAATAAGTCTTCTTTAACCACAAGATTTCTCCTTCTTATAATCTGGTAGTACTCTATTTGTAGATGTGCCCTAATTTATTTAGCCAGTCTTTTACTACTACAAATCATGCTGTAAATAATGGACTTATCCATATATCTGTTTTTATATTTTTGCTAGTGTACCTGACAAATAGAAATCTAGAAATTGAGTTTCTTGGGCAAAAGTTAAATACATACATAATGTTGCTATATATATTGATTGTCTATCTAGCTCCCCTCTGAACTTATTGCACCATTTTATGCTCCCACCAGCAATTTATGAGGTGTTTGTTTCCCCACAACTCAACAATAACATTTCTCATGAAATATTTAGAATTTCGATTATTTAATATTTTATAAAAACTCAATGAAATTTTAATTTGAATGAAATAAATTTTGAAGAATAAGAAAGAAACAGATGATCAAATCAGAGGAAAGGTGTGCATTTCATTGAAACTTGAGTTATAGATTAGACGATTAGCAATTGGTGATGTCTTGGTGTTTTATTTTCTCTTCTTGAAAGGTTGTTTTTCACTTTTATTTTAGCCAAATCTATCCCATCTCTCAAGACCCCACTGTGATTCCTCAAGAAGCAGAAATCACTCTTTCTGTATGCACCCATTTCAAGTTTATTAATAAATACATTAAATTTTGTATATACTACATGTAGAAACTGTACATGTACTTATTTTTACATGTTTGTCTTCCTCCAACTTTTCTGTAACTCTTCAAAAATAAGAATTGTTCAAGTGTTTCTGGTGTTTTGTTTTGTGTTTGAGACAGGGTCTCTCTCTCTGTCACCCAGGCTGGACTGCGGTAGCAGAATTATGGCTCACTGTAGCCTCAAACACCTGGGCTCAGGCCATCTTCCTGCCTCAGTCTCCCTAGTGGCTGGGACTATAGGCGTACATCACCATGCCTGGCCATTTAAAAATTTTTTTTTAGTAGAGACGAGGTCTTGCTATGCTACCCAGTCTGGTATCGAACTTCTGAGTTCAAGCAATCCTTCTGCCTGAACCTCTCAAAGTGCTGGGATTATAAGTGTGAGCCATTGCATGCAACACAAGTGTTTCTCTTTTCTTTTCTTTCTTTCTTTTTTTTTTTTTTTTTGAGACAAAGGTCTGCTCTATTACTCAGGCTGCTGGGGTGCAATGGCACAATCTTGGCTCACTGCAACTTCTGCCTTCTGGGTTCAATCAATTCTCATGCCTCAGCCTCTTGAGTAGCTGGGATTACAGGCGTGCCAAGCCATGCCCAACTAATTTTTTTTTTGTATTTTTTAGTAGAGATGCAGTTTTACCATGTTGGAGCTCCTGGCCTCAAGTGATCTGCCTGCCTCAGCCTCCCAAGGGCTGGGATTACAGACGTGGGCCACCATGCCAGGCCAAGTATTTCCCTTTTAATATGACGTAGGCATTCCTGAAAAGCTTATGTAATGCAAACCTTTACATTAAAAATATTATGGGGAAGTAGGGCTAGGGTTAGGGCTAGACTCAAAATACATGCAACTTTAAAGACAAGGCATTAGTAGAAACAACATTTGGTTCCCAGAGAGACAATGTAGACTGCCCAGGCAGGCAGCTCATTGAGGCTGGAGGTTGCCACAGTAGATATTTAAAATATACAACAACAGTAGAATGAAAATACCAACAATGCTTGGATTAGAACAATGATGCTTGATGCTGAGACAATTTGTACTGGGGTAGGGGGTAGTCCTTAGTATGGGTAAAGAATTTGAAGTAAAGCAAACAAGAATAACCCAAAACCTAAAGAAAAAGTTGTACATAGTTTCAGGGAAAGGATTCCAACAGAAGAGTGCCACATGCACAAACACAGGAGTGCTGAGAGACTATGATGTGTGTAAGGAACACAAAGCATTTTTGTGTCACTGAAAAATCAGCTACACTGGGGATTTGAAACTGGAAAAATAAGCAGAGATCACAGGAAAAGACCTTGTTAAAGGATTTACTTTATCCCAGGGGCCATACGGAGTAATTGAAAGACATTAAGCAGGTAAGTGACTTAACCAGAGTTGCTGGTTAAGACAGCAACTGGTAAGACAGTTGCTGATAAGACAGATCACATACAAACCAAGGATGGTTTGAAGAGAATGAACCAGAAGCAGGTTCCTACCATACTCTAGGCCAGAGAAAATAAATCCAGAACCTAAAGGCAGTGGTGGTAGAGCTGGAGAAGGTGACACTGAATTAGTGTTTAGGAGTAAAAATAATCAAATTTGGGGCACAAATTAAAGGATTATATCCCAGTTCCTGGCTTGTACTTTGGGGTGGTGCCATTTACTGAAATGGGGTATCTACAAAGAGGAGGTTTGAGGTGGAGGAAGCAGACAAGCACATTTATATCTCTTATCATTGTTTCAGTCCGTGTGAATTGTATGATGCTATATTATATTCTTTTGTGCCTTTGTCTAAATTCCTTATGAATGGGGCTCACTGTACCTACTTTGTGTCTGTGTAGATGTTTCCCTGATTATTTACCACATTTTCTTCATTATCTATTAAATTATTCAATAACAATTTACTGGGCATCTACCTTTCTAGGCATTGGGGTAAAAAAATGAATAACACAATTTCTATTTCAAGGAGCATGTCATCTACTGTATGAGACAAATACATACAATAATGATTATTCTAAAATAAGAACTATGAAAGTGGTATTCCAGTTCTCCAATGTTACTAATATATTGAAATTTTCTGCCCATCTTTAGAAATTGTGTTGCTTTGTTCTTACTACCACCCTGTACTGGATACTGGCTTGTCCTCACCTGTGGGCTCAGATTTATTCCCATTCTGAAAAAATGAGTGCAAGTGTCACTTGTCGGCCAAATCCCTGACTTGGACTCAGCCACCCAGGATTCCAACACTTGCTGAAAAAACTACTCAACTTATCTGTGTCTCAGATTCCTTGACTGTAAAATGGGTATAATACTATCTGTATCTTCAGGTGTTGTGAGAATCAAATAAGATAATACATGCAAAACACTTAGAACGGTGTGTGGTGCTTATTTGCTGCTTCATAAATGCTCATTCTTACTATGAAAGTAGATGAGGTATCAAGGATGTTTTCATAAAAGAAGTGATTCCTTGGTTGAATTGTTTTAAATGAATATGAATCAGCAAAAAAATTAAAATAGCATTTTCTCATTTTTTTCTCTTTACCGCCCTCTTTCCTTCACCAACCTAAATTCACTTCTTGCACCTGCTCAGAACTTTACTCAAATATCATATTCTCAGTGGAGCTTTCCCTGACACTTTCCACCTCTAAATGTTTGTCTCCTTCTCTACTACTTTATTCTTCTCCATTGCTCTTATATACCATACTTTCTACTAACATAATTAATTAATTAATTAATTTTTGAGTGGAATTTTGCTCTTGTTGCCCATGCTGGAGTGCAATGGTGTGATCTCGGCTCACCGCAACTTCCGCCTCCCGTGTTCCAGCGATTCTCCTGCCTCAGCCTCCTGAGTAGCTGGGATTACAGGCATGCACCACCACGCCGAGCTAATTTTGTATTTTTAGTAGAGACAGGGTTTCTCTATGTTGGTCAGGCTGGTCTTGAACTCCCGATCTCAGGTGATCAGCCAGCCTCCACCTCCCAAAGAGCTGTGATTACAGGCGTGAGCCTCCGTGCCTGGCTTAACAGAATTTGTTTATAACCTGTCTTCCCTATGATGAGTTTTATGAGGGCAGAGATTTTTGCTTGTTTTATTTACTAATGTATTATCTTCAGTATCTAAAACAGAGCATAGCATACAGAATTATCTTCTGATAATCAATATTTACTGAATTAATTATTTTATTTTAGAGATTGAATAGTAGGGGCTATAGTGAGTTTTGGCAATGAGCTGGATAAGAAGATTTAGAAGATAGGTCTAGCATTATATCAATAATTATAATGGTTAACATTCATGGAACATGTACAGTATAGCAGACAACATGCTAAGTGCTTCAGATTTTATTCCTCCATATGTTTATAGTCATCACAAAGAATTTCAGGGTCCCAATTTTGAAGCTTCGTTATTAATGCAATGATGAAATCTTTTGTTTCCTTTTCATGGGATTTCATATTAGTCACACTTGCATATTTAAGTTGTATTTTATTAACATGTAAAATGTGAGCTTCAAGTTTCTTGAGAGTCAAGACACAAGTCAACCAAGAGAGCTGATGAAAAAGTTCATGCTTAACCCATCTAGATTCTGTCCATGGTTCTGATGCTATCTTGACACATACAACCACTTGGAAAATACTCATCCCTGGGATCAAGATAAGCCACCCTGACTATGTTGTGTGTCTTCTTGTTTACACTGCAATTTTCAGAGTGTAGAAATTGAGATTCTCACAATATAGTGAAACCTTCCTGAGTATGGGCTTCTTGAGATTGAGACACATTCGGATCTCCTCCTCAGGAATCATTTAGTAATTGCTGAATCAGTTTCTTTGATTTTCTCCTTCCTACATTTTTGTTTTGCAAAAAATATACCTGCCTGACCTCACCACTTTTCATTATGTGTCACGACCTCTCTCTTCATAAATGCTTGGCCTGCCTTTCTTAGCACCATTATTGAAGAGAGATAAGGTAGGAGCATGAACATAAAGCTGTGATTTTGCCCATTCTCTACAGAGAACAGAAAAATCAGGACATGTATAGATATATATAGTATGTTAATTAAGTCTGGAAAAGTAGAATTCTTTCCCCAAAAATTGTGAATCTAATGGTCAAATTTGTTTTATTATATTTTGGAGAGTATAGATGTTTGATCCTCAACAACTCTAACAAGGAAAGTAAAGAATGAGGCCACAGGAGGTCCCCTTTATAAGAATATAATAAAGGTATAAATAACATATGAGATTTCTTCTACCTTCCTAGATTTTGAATGCCCAGTGAAGTCCTGGGCAGAAGAATGATGTGGGAAAACTGGACAATTGTCAGTGAATTTGTTCTCGTGAGCTTCTCAGCCCTGTCCACTGAGCTTCAGGCTCTACTGTTTCTCCTTTTCTTGACCATTTACTTGGTTACTTTAATGGGCAATGTCCTCATCATCCTGGTCACTATAGCTGACTCTGCACTACAAAGTCCTATGTACTTCTTCCTCAGAAACTTGTCCTTCCTGGAGATAGGTTTCAACTTGGTCATTGTGCCCAAGATGCTGGGGACCCTGATCATTCAAGACACAACCATCTCCTTCCTTGGATGTGCCACTCAGATGTATTTCTTCTTCTTTTTTGGGGCTGCTGAGTGCTGCCTCCTGGCCACCATGGCATATGACCGCTACGTGGCCATCTGTGACCCCTTGCACTACCCAGTCATCATGGGCCACATATCCTGTGCCCAGCTGGCAGCTGCCTCTTGGTTCTCAGGGTTTTCAGTGGCCACTGTGCAAACCACATGGATTTTCAGTTTCCCTTTTTGTGGCCCCAACAGGGTGAACCACTTCTTCTGTGACAGCCCTCCTGTTATTGCACTGGTCTGTGCTGACACCTCTGTGTTTGAACTGGAGGCTCTGACAGCCACTGTCCTATTCATTCTCTTTCCTTTCTTGCTGATCCTGGGATCCTATGTCCGCATCCTCTCCACTATCTTCAGGATGCCGTCAGCTGAGGGGAAACATCAGGCATTCTCCACCTGTTCCGCCCACCTCTTGGTTGTCTCTCTCTTCTATAGCACTGCCATCCTCACGTATTTCCGACCCCAATCCAGTGCCTCTTCTGAGAGCAAGAAGCTGCTGTCACTCTCTTCCACAGTGGTGACTCCCATGTTGAACCCCATCATCTACAGCTCAAGGAATAAAGAAGTGAAGGCTGCACTGAAGCGGCTTATCCACAGGACCCTGGGCTCTCAGAAACTATGATTGGCTTAGATGGAAACTGAAGGGGTAAAATGTAAGTACACACACAAAAAATAGAAAAATGAATTCCTCAAGTGGATTTTGTGTTTCTACTCTTTCCAGGTGACACGGTATGCCTACTGAAATTTTTTACTTTCTACTAAGACCTATTTCTGAAAGAAAGAACATGAGTAATGTGCTACCTGACTTCAAACTATACTACAAGGCTACAGTAACCAAAACAGCATGGTACTGGTACAAAAACAGACATATAGACCAATGGAACACAACAGAGCCCTCAGAAATAATACCACACATCTACAACCATATGATCTTTCACAAACCTGACAAAAACAAGAAATGGGGAAAGGATTCCCTATTTAATAAATGGTGCTGGGAAATCTGGCTAGCCATATGTAGAAAGCTGAAACTGGATCCCTTCCTTATACCTTATACAAAAATTAATTCAAGATGGATTAAAGACTTACATGTTAGACCTAAAACCATAAAAACCCTAGAAGAAAACCTAGGCAATACCATTCAGGACATAGGCATGGGCAAGGACTTCATGTCTAAAACACCAAAAGCAATGGCAACAAAAGCCAAAATTGACAAATGGGATCTAATTAAACTAAAGAGCTTCTGCACAGCTAAAGAAACTACCATCAGAGTGAACAGGCAACCTACAGAATGAAAGAAAATTTTTGCAATCTACTCATCTGACAAAGGGCTAATATCCAGAATCCACAAAGAACTCAAAAAAATTTACAAGAAAAAAACAAACAACCCCATCAACAAGTGGGCGAAGGATATGAACAGACACTTCTCAAAAGAAGACATTTATGCAGCCAACAGACACATGAAAAAATGCTCATCATCACTGGCCATCAGAGAAACGCAAATCAAAACCACAATGAGATACCATCTCACACCAGTTAGAATGGTGATCATTAAAAAGTCAGGAAACAACAAGTGCTGGAGAGGGTGTGGAGAAACAGGAACACTTTTACACTGTTGGTGGGACTGAAAACTAGTTCAACCATTGTGGAAGTCAGTGTGGCAATTCCTCAGGGATCTAGAACCAGAAATACCATTTGACCCAGCCATCCCATTACTGGGTATATACCCAAAGGATTATAATAATACCAAAGGATTATAAATCATGCTGCTGTAAAGACACATGCACACGTACATTTATTGCAGCACTATTCACAATAGCAAGACTTGGAACCAACCCAAATGTCCAACAATGATAGACTGGATTAAGAAAATGTGGCACATATACACCATGGAATACTATGCAGCCATAAAAAATGATGAGTTCATGTCCTTTGCAGGGACATGGATGAAGCTGGAAACCATCATTCTCAGCAAACTATCACAAGGACAAAAAACCAAACACCGCTTGTTCTCACTCAGAGGTGGGAATTGAACAATGAGAACACATGGACACAGGAAGGGGAACATCACACACTGGGGCCTGTTGTGGGGTGGGGGGAGGGGAGAGGGATAGCATTAGGAGATATACCTAATGTAAATGACGAGTTAATGGGTGCAGCACACCAACTAGGCACATGTATACATACGTAACAAACCTGCACGTTGTGCACATGTACCCTAGAACTTGAAGTATAATAAAATATATATATATATGTATAAAAGAAAGAACATGAGTAATGAAAGAAAGCATTATAGTATCCCATAGTATCTATGGGATGGTGGTACCAATGTCTCTGGAGATGCTGCTAGTTTATATAAATTAGGATCCTCAGAAGATCGATAACTATAATCCACCATGTTTTAAAATTTGTTTTAATCTTTCTTGAACTCCCACATCCATTTCATTTTATAATTTTCTGCTTTAATTTCTTCTATTTGTCCAAAACCTACCTGCATATTTCTAGGCTGTCTTTGTTTACAAAGTAATTAAAATAAAAATAATAATGCTAATAAATTGTAGAGTTTTGTTTTATTCTTTTACTCATGTTTTTCAACAAATTTGAGTTTGAACTCAAAATTTTAACAAATTTTTATTCAGCACTCAGCATGTTTCAGACTTCGTTTAGGCCCTGAAGACACCTTGGTTTATAAAACAGATAAATTTCTTACCCCATAGAATTTACATTCTAGTGATAAAACAGATAATAAAAAGATACTTCAATCCTCCAGTGGTTTATAAAGTATACGTGTTTAGAGGACTAGCGACTGAAGAGTTCTGTCTCTGCTACCAGTCAGTCTGTGCCTTATCTGGAGAAAGACTACTCCACAACGACAACTGTCTAAATCTCACATTATTCACCTGGTGTATGAGAACTGCTTGATAGCAAAGGTATAAAGAACTCCCAGTCAAGTATAAGTGGGGAAATTATGGGGAACTGGTATAAAGAACCCAAAGATTCTTTGCTTACGAGATTTTTTTCTGTAATCTTATTGTGATTGGATGGAATCAATTGTCTTTTTCAAGCTTGTGTATCTTTCAACCACACAGTAGCCTCTCTATGATTTTATCTAGTGAACACAGTCCAACTCTGGACTCAGCAAACAGCAACGTTGTGTATGGGCAACATAACTGTGTGTAAACTTACTCCTGGCAATTCATTGATAATTACAGGGCAAAATTATTTTACTACACAGGCATGTCCACCTCACCAACTCTGTAAACAACCCTATCTCTGTGTGCCATAGAAGTACCAGGACCAGTTTCCTTTCCTGCACAAAGTGTCCTTCAGCTCTCGTGACACAAGGGCTTCAGAAAGATAGCTCATTCTGTAAAATGACCATAAGAATTTTCAAAAGAAAAGGCAGATCATGGGGTTCTATTTGCATGATGGCAATCACACAGTTAAACAGATTGTCACCATTAAATATTGGTAGTCTCCAATTTCAGTCAAATTTTAATCACTTGTTCACATTCCTTTTTCTTGACCTTGGTGGGTAAGGTAAATAGTGGCCCCCCCCCCGAAGATATCTATATTCTAGTCCCTGGAACCTGTGAAGGTGGTACCTTCCATGGTAAAAGGGCTGCAGATGTGATTGACTTAAAGATTCTTATATAGGGAGATTATCTTGTGCTATCTGGATGGACCCAATCTAATCACAAACATCCTTCTAAGAGGGAGGCAAGATGATCAGAAGGAGGGACAGAAAGATGTAAGCATGGGCAGAGGTTAGAGAAGACAGAAGGTGATATGCCACTGATTTTGAAATTAGAAGACAGGGCCATGATCCAGGAATGTAGGCAGCCTGTGGAAGCTGAAAAAGTCAAGGGGACAAAATTTTCCCCTAGAGCCTTCAGAAAATAATGTAGGTCTAGCTGACACCTTAATTTTAGCACAGTGAAACTGATTTTGGTCTTTTGAACTCTAGAATTCTCAGATAACAAATCTAGGTTGTTTTAAGCTACTAGGTTTGTGGTAATTTGTTACAGCAGCAATACGACATTAATGCACTTGGTCTTACTTTATTCTTCTCAGCTAATATCCAAGTTTTTGCTACTTTTCCCTGTACCACTCTTCCTTCTTTTATTCAAGAAAACAACTTCCACTTCATCAAGAAAATTGGGGTGATCAGATTTAAATGACTTTTACTCATGCCCTTACATCTAAAAATGTTTCCATCTATGCCCACATCTATGCCTATTTCTCTTAATCTGAGAAATACTTGATTGCATAGCCTCTTGTCTATGAACCATGCTTCTTGGAGTATCTCATCTGTTTCACCTGTAACTTCAATCTCTTCCCCTCTTTTGTCTCAAGCTGTAAACAGGCCCTGATCCTTAAAACAAAAACGAATTACAATCTTGATCACGTTTCTCTTATCTTTCTCATTTACGCTTGGACTACTTTTGTACCATCTTTATTGAAATAACTTACATATTATACAACTCACCCATTTAAAGTTTATAATTCAATTTTTTTAGCATATTCACAATGTTGTGCAACCATCACCACAATCTAATTTTACAGTTTTATCACCCCTAAAAGAAAACCCACACCCATTAGCATCAGACAACTTCTTGGGGAAAAAAAGTTTATAATTTCTATTTTATTTTCATTAAATTTACTATTTATTCACTGAAATCTAGTTTCTTCCCCTATCACTTCATTGCAATAGATCTTTCAAAATCATTAATGGCCTCTATATTAACCTGTCCAGTGTTTAATCTTGATTTTGCTACTCTATTACAACTCTTACATTGCTCATGTATTTCTTTTGAAAATTTCTACACCTGTTATTTCCCAAATACCATTCTGTTCTGGTTTTCTTTCTGCATCTCTGAACACTCGTTCTCAATCTTCAAGGAGTTTTCTCACAAACACTTAACCATTGGAAACACTATGTTCCCCAAAGTTCCAATAATAACCTTGGTGCTTTTTTTCACTCTGTTGCTTTTTTAAAAAATAGCTATATTGAAGTATAAGTAATATAGAGAAACTGCATATATTTAATGTATACAATTTGATGAGTTTGTACAAAGTCATATACCCATACCATACACACATGAACAAGGTGAGAGAAGGAGAGAGAGAAAGAGAGAGAGAAACCTCATCACTCTAAGCTTGAGAGTCAGATATTTGCAAGTGTCCATAAGACATATCCACATTGATTTCCAAAAGGCACCTCAAAGGTATCTTTTAACTCATGTCAAAAACTTAACTCATTTTCTTTATCAAATCCTGCTTCTTGAACTGAATTCCTATTTCAAAGACTGTCACTAGCACTACCTAGTCAACAAAATCAGAAATCTGATAATCAAATGAGGCTCATCCTTCATACCAGAAAGTCCAATAAAAAGTCCTCACCTAATCAGCACGTTGTCAGTTACTTTCTGCCACAATACTACATTACACATAATCTTCACTAAATTCTACAAGGACTGTATGATTCTTTTTCTGGATCATAATTTAGAAATACTGTTTACAAAGAAGAGTTAAGTTTACTTCTTCCTAAAACTTTTTATTGCCTATTTAAAAATTTTATTACTATTCTGCTCATTCAAAATATTGTGATATATTCATAAACTGACCATCCTTCAAGATGTATTTCAGATATTACCTCTTTCATGGCGTGGGTTCAATTGCTTCCAACCTGACAGTATTTTCTTCTCTGAAAACACATGCACACAAACATATGATCTACTTTTATTCTGTCCTACTTCTTTGCTCCTTGATTATACTGTTTTCTTGTAAGGACAGGGTTTATAACATACTTATATCTCCTACATGGCCTAGCACAGTGACTTGAGCATGGGAAAAATGCAATTAATATACATTTGATTTCCCATGAAATAAATTGGAAGTGATAAATAAGTCCAAACATTCAACTATCCAGGATCCCTCACAGATATCCATATATAATCCCTGCAGAGAAATGCTGACTTATCAATATTTTAGGTTTCCAATATTTAAAACAATTCTATATTTATGATTAAATGTGGGAATTAAAAATGATAAAAACTTTATATCTGTCCATCTGAAGGGTGTCTGTATTATCCAAGAAAATGTGTAAAATACATAACTTTTCTATCTACTCCCTGCCTGCAGTTAATCATTTCTATGTAAATTACATAATAGGGTTGGATTAGAAAATATAACAAAAAATATACATTTCTATAGTTTATAAGTTACATTTATAAAATTCTACTTTTATCTTTAAAACAGCCCTTTGAAATAACTATTGTTATTGTTATTCCCATGTTGGAGATCATCTAAAAGATTTTATCTGGTTTCATGCCTTTATATACTATGTACAGAGTACTGATCCCCAAAATTTTATCTTCAAATGTGATATCTCCCCTGAGCTCAAATCCAATATCCAATTGTATTCTTCATCCCTCTGCATTTATGTCAAGTAGGCAGCTCAAACTTAATTCATCCAAAACACTTCCATAAAACTTGCTTTTTTATTCCCCTCTTCTACTCACCAGCAAATATTATCACCATTTATTCAGTGACTCAAGCCAAAACCTTAAGAGCCATTCTTATTTACTCACTACCTTTCATCCCTCATATTGAACCTATCAGCAAACCTGACAAATGGTTTCCAAAATATATGCTATATCCAATTTTCTTTGATCTATGCTGCTATTATCCTAGACCAAGACACAATCGTTCTTTACCTTGACTACTGCAGTACTTCCTAACATATCTTCCTATTTCTATCTTGCTTCCCTATAATCCACTATCCGTGGAGGATCCTGAGTAGTCTTTTCAATATGTAAATAAGATTGTGTCATTCCCTTGCTTGAAAACTTTTCACAGCTTCCCATCACTATTAAAGTAAAATGCAAAACCTTTACTAATTCTACATTCCCAACTTGTGCTAGTCTCTATCCACCTTTCCAGCCTCACTTAAAATCCCCTGGCCTCTCAATTACATTGATATAGTACAATGATTTTGAACTGTGGATCAGAATCACCTGGATAACTTTAAAGACACACTTAATGTCAGCACTTCTCTTTTGGCCACAGAGAAGTAGCTTGAATTTAAATAATTCTCCCCAAAACAACTACACAACTATAAAAGATTGACAAAACACACAAAACAAGTGCTTAGAGATACAGGAGAGCAGCAAATGCAGGACTTGAAGAGAAAAGGTAAGAGGAGGGAAGAACAATAAGGTAAGTGCCACATTCACCCAAGTGTTTTCCCCAAGGGCGTTTGTCATTTCTCTAAGAGGAAAAGAGAGTGTTAGCATAAAGTAGCAGTCACTGAAATAAGAGGGTAGAAATTAGAATTCGGGGTTGCCAAACATATTAACATTGAGAATCAAATCACAAAGATGAGGGTACCACAGATAAACAAGTCCAAAAATTTGCATGCAATATATTTATAAGTTGTTTGTCACTCCTAAACGGTGTATGCACAAGAAAAGACTCAAGGAAACTCAAAAGAAAGCAGCATATGAAAGGCTAAAAAAATATATATATATGAGCTGAGCATTTACTAACCGATTGGTGCTGGGAGATAGAGGGTAGGGTTTAAGTCTTGTGAGGTAGATCACTCTGTGCTTTCAGCTGAGATCCCACAAAGGTAATAATTTAGGAACAAATGCAAAACTAGATAGAAAAAGCCTAAAAAAGCCTAAAACCAACCATCAATAGGATTGAATTGATCTGCTTATGTTTTTACCCTGTCAAAAGAAAACTGCATCCTCTTAGAAAGAAAAAAATCATCCAGAGCCTCTACAGGGGGACTATTTAATGAAAAAATTATAAAACATGCTAATGAAAAAGGGTCAAAAATGACTGAAAACCGAGAGAAAAAATGGGAAATTTATCTATAAATATTTGTGACATCTGTGACATTTGTTTGCCAATCTTTTATGGATAATTTATTTGTCTATGTTTAGATATATTGCCATTATTCATAAAAGATTTAGAGGTGATTTAGATATTAGAGTTCTAAGTTCAAAATAACTATTACTAATATTTTTAAGAAAAGAGAGAAAAAGATTTTTTCATGAGATAACTACAATTCATAAAAAGAAAAACAGACATAAAACTAAAAAATAAACTGAACTGAAAATTCATTAGGTAGGCTCAATAGCAAAGTCCACAAAGCAGAAGAGATAATTTATAAACTGTAGTCTTGTTCAGTAGAAAGTATGGAGACAGAAGCACAGAACAAAAAGGAGGGAAAATAAAGAAATGAGCATAAAAGTTCAACTAAGCAAAAAGGTCTAAATCATGGATAGTCAGATTTCCAGGAGAAAACAATAAAGTAAAAGAGATGCAATATCTGAAAAAAATACTAGCTCAGTGAACACCGATCGGATAGCTAAAACAAACAAATAAATAATCACATCAAAATGCTGAGAAAGATATAGAGAATATGTAAAAAGCATCTATACAATCACAAAATCAGTGGAAGACAGAAGACAGTGGGATAATACTTTTAAACTGCTGAAAGAAAATCAAAACTACTCTCAAGGACTTCTACTTTTAGCCAAAATTGAATAACAGGAATTGGATTTACCCCTCACCTAAAACAATAAAATAAGAAACACATAAAATACATGAAACAATGATCCTTCAAGACACAGGCATCAAGCAACAAAGGAAAGTAGCTGCTGAGAGACTGGAAACAAATGAGGTAAACCTTATGAATGTATAACAGAGAAGAGAGATCTGCAGAGAAAGAGAACCCCAAAGATCTAAAAGGGTTCCATTTTGCCTGTTCAATAGAGTCAAGCATATACATCTGAAGAAACTGTCCAAGGCTGGGGAAATAGCCATCAGAAAGAATCAAAGGAAGCATCAGAGGTGCTTGGCATGAACACAGCGTCCGTAGTAGTTCCTGTTCCCAACATTCAGGCTGGAAAAACTCGTAATTCATGGAATAGTGGGTAGAAGACACAGGAAGGTCCAGTTTCAGTAATGGGGAATACTTGTCCCTATACTGAGCACTGCTTCAGACCCACCTAACAATTCATACAGCAAAACACAAAAGGACAAAATTATCTCCAAGTGAATTAACTGAATTCTAAAACAGAGCTCAAGAAGATTTATAGGAATACAAAAAATACCCAGAATCCACCGGAGTACAATTCACCAAGTCTGGCATTCAATAAAATATTATGAGTTATGTAAAGAGGCAAGGAAATAACGACTTATATAATGAGGAGAAAAATCAGTATAAATCAACCCAGAACTGACTCAAATGTTACAATTAACAGAGAAAAATATTAAAAGTTATGTTATTGCATATGTTTAAAAAGTTAAGTAGAGACATGAAAGCTATAAATAAAAGACAAATTAAACTTCTAGAGATGAAAACTAAAATATCTGAGATAAAAAATATGCTGAATGGGATTCACAGCAGGTTAAATATTACAGATGAAAGATTAGTGAGTTTGATGAATAGCCATAGAAAATGCAAAATAAAACAGAAAAATGAATACAAAATATGAGAAGAAAATCAGTGAACTATGGGACAGCTTCACACTGTGTAACATGAAGGTAGTTGTTGTCACCAAGGCAGAGGAGAGGACAGAAAAAAAAATTGAAGAAATAATGGCTGAAAATTTTCCAAACTTAATTAAAACTATAAACCACAGATCAAGAAACTCAGTAAATGCTAAGCACAAAAAAATGAAGACACATAACTAAAGGCATGTAATTATCAAATTGCTCAAAAAACAATGATAAAGAGAAAATGTCAAAAGTGGCCAGTGGGAGGGAGGCGAGGCATTCTATGTATAGCGGTATAAAGATAAGAATAACATCAAATTTCTCATCAAAAACAATACAGGTAAGTCAAAATGAAGCAAGACTTTTATGGTATTCAAGAGAATAACAATTTTTCAACCTGAAATTCTACACTTGGAAAAATATCTTTCAGAAAGAAAGGGAAATAAAGATGTCTTCAGGCATACAAGACCTCAAAGATTTATCACCAGCAGAACCCACACCATGAGAAATATTAAAGAATGTCCTGTTGGCAGAAAGAAAAATGATACACGGGCCAGGTGTGGTGGCTCACGCCTCTAAATCCCAGCACTTTGGGAGGCTAAGGCAGGCGACTCATTTGAGGTCAGGAGTTCAAGACCAGCCTGTCCAACATGGCGAAACCCCATCTCTACTAAAAATACAAAAATTAGCTGGGCATGGTGGCGTACGCTTGTAATCCCAGCTACTCCGGAGGCTGAGGCAGAAGAATTGCTTGAACCTGGAAGGCAGAGGTTGCAGTGAGACAAGATCACACCATTGCACTCCAGCCTGGGCAACAGAGGGAGATTCTCTCTCTCATAAAAAAAAAAAGATACCATAGGAAAATCTGGTATTTAAAGAAATGGAGACCATAAAAATAGTAGTAATATAAGTAAATATATTTAAAAATTTACTTAGTATCCAAATTTTTTTTTACCAGAAACAACATTATTTAATGATAAAAAAGTCAATTTACCAGGAAGATATGACAATTATAAGAGAGAAATAGAAAACAACACAACAATAGTAGGAGATTTCAATATCCCACTACATCTATACACACACACACACACACACACACACACACACACACACATATTAAGTTCTGGGATACATGTACAGAACGTGCAGGTTTGTTACATAGGTATACACGTGCCATGGTGGTTTGCTGTGGCCATCAACCAGTCATCTACATTAGGTATTTCTCCTAATGCTATCCTTCCCCTAGACCTCCATCCCCCGACAGGCCCCGGTGGGTGATGTTCCCCTCCCTGTGTCCATGTGTCCTCATTGTTCAACTCCCACTTATGAGTGAGAACAGGCGGTGTTTAGTTTTTTGTTCCTGTGATAGTTTGCTGGGAATGATGGTTTCCAGCTTCATCCATGTCCCTGCAAAGGACATGAACTCATCCTTTTTCATGGCTGCATAGTATTCTATGGTGTATATGTGCCACATTTTCTTAATCCAGTCTATCACTGATGGGCATTTGGGTTGGTTCCAAGTCTTTGCTATTGTGAACAGTGCTGCAATAAACGTACGTGGGCATGTATCTTTATAGTAGAATGATTTATAATCCTTTGAGTATATACCTAGTAATGGTATTTCTGGGTCAAATGGTATTTCTGGTTCTAGATCCTTGAGGAATTGCCACACTGTCTTCCACAATGGTTGAACACAATGGTTGAATGAGTGAATTTACACTCCCACCAAAAAGCATTCCTATTTCTCCACAGTCACAACAGCATCTGTTGTTTCCTGACTTTTTAATAATCACCATTATCACTGGTGTGAGATGGTATCTCATTATGGTTTTGATTTGCATTTCTCTAACGACCAGTGATGATGAGCTTTTTTTTTTCATATGTTTGTTGGCCACATCAATGTCTTCTTTTGAGAAGTGTCTGTTCATATCCTTCACCCACTTTTTGATGGGCTTGTTTGCTTTTTCTTGAAAATTTGTTTAAGGACCTTGTAGATTCTGGATATTAAACCTTTGTCAGATGGATAGATTGCAAAAATTTTCTCCCATTCTATAGGTTGCCGAACAGACACTTTTCAAAAGAAGACATACAAGTGGCAAATAAGCATATGAAAAAATGCTCAACATCACTAATCATTAGAGAAGTGCAAATCAAAACCACAATGAGGTACCATCTCACACCAGTCAAAATGGCTACTATTAAAAAGTCAAAACAACAACAACAAAACAGATGCTGGCAAAATTGTAGAGAAAAGGGAACACTTTTCTGGTGGGAATGTAAATTAGTTCAGCCACTGTGGAAAGCAGTTTGGTGATTTCTTGAATAACTTAAAACAGAACTACTATTCGACCCAACAATGCCATTACTGGGTATATACCCAGAGGAATATAAATTACTCTACCATAAAGACACGTGCATGGTTATGTTCATCGCAGCACTATTCACACAGCAAAGGCATGGAATCAACCTAAATGCCCATCAATAGCAGGAAATGTGGTACATATACACCATGGAATACTATACAGCCATGAAAAAGACCGAGATCATGTCTTTTGCAGCAACATAAATGGAGCTAGAGGCTATTATCCTATCTTAACACAGGAACAGAAAACCAAATACTGTGTGTTCTCACTTATAAGTTGGAGCTAAATATTGAGTACACATGGATACAAATAATAGAACAACAGATATTGTGGCCTACTGGAGGGTTGAGGGTAAGAGAAGGGTGAATATAAAAAAAACTGCCTATCAGGTACTATGCTTATTACCTGGGTGATGAAGTAATCTGTACACCAAACCCTTGTGACACGCAATTGACCTATATAATAAACCTGCACATGTACCCGTGAAACTAAAAGTTAAAAAAAAAAACAGAATCATCAATAACTCAAATATTACAGGTAAGAAGTTTTAGGTTGCCACACCTGTTAAAAAACTCCAGTGAGCTGAGCTTAAGGCAGAAAATAAGAAATCCATGAAAGGGTAGTGAAAGAACAAGCTATAATTATCAACTTATGTCTGGGGCAGGATTAGGAGCTACAATAGCTATGTTTTCTGCTAATTATTTGCCTTTTTTGCTCTTCCTCTTTCAACTTACATAAATAATCATGACAGGAGCTATTCTTTTATGTAGCAAGTAGAAGTGTGAGCTACTTGATATCATGCCGCTATGATATAGTTCTTAATGGAACTTTATGTGTTCCCTGTATTAGAAATATGAATTAATCACTGAAAGAAGTGGATGCTGAGGGCAAAAGGTGTGTACTTCACCAGTTGACCTTTCCAGATCTACCTTCTATCCTTTTTCAGCTTGCTATGTGCTTCAGAATGTTTGACATCTTTTATGGATTATACCAAAAGGCTCCTTGTTCCCTGGCTTCTAATTGGAATACAATAGTGGGGGATCAGAAGGTGGGTGGAAAATGGGCTTGAGAAATATTTCTTCTCATGGCTTCCTTGCCTTCACATAGCCTAAGTCCACAGTTACTGCCTTGTGCCCTTAGCATATTTCTACCCTCTCCAGGTTCTAGTTCCCTCCTCTTGGTCATTCAGGCTTAGCGTTAGTTACAGCTTCTCACTCTTGCTATGTGTCACTATTCTTGGAATATGTCACTATTTCTTGCTGGTTTCCACAACTCCTATATTCATCTTTATGAAGATGTATCCTGATAAATATGATCCTTATGTTTCTAAAAGAGTGTGAGAAGGAGAGCAGAGCTCATATATTCTGCTTCATTGTACCCATGCTCTTCATTACCCATGTTAAGCACACATACAGGTGCACATGCCAACATACATGTAGCACCTAGCTCATAGTAAGTGATTCAGTAATGTCTATTTATTGATCATTTGATGATGCAGAGAGATTCAGAAGTACCAAAAGAAAAAGGACTTGAAGTAAGATCTGAAATAGACAGGTGATAATACACAGCATTATTAAAAAGGTAGATTTTACAAGGCTTATAAAATATGTGTGTTTCTCGGGGGATTTCTCAACCCTTAGGTGTCAAAGGACCAACCAGAAGGAAGCATATCCTCCTTCCGATTGCTCCACGAATTACTGTCCTTCTCCTTCTATGAAAGAAATGCAGGATGAAGGATAGAGGGTGTGTCTATGGATAAGGCCCAAGAATAAGAATCTTACCATATTTTTTATTAATTTTTAATTTACAATTGACATAATTATATATAGTTTGGGAATACAGTGTGATGTTTCAATGCATGGAAACACTGTATAATAATCAAATCAGGGTAATTACCATATCCATCACTTTAAGTCTTACCATATTTTAGATTCACAAAGAAGAGGGCTACCCAGCAAGTCTTCTTTAATAATATAAGTTTATTTTATCCAATATATTAAAATATTATTTTATTGTCATGCCATCCATATAAAATTACTAATGACATGATTTAAATTCTATTTTCATATAGGTGTGAAAATTTGAAATCTAATGTGCATTTTTTCTTCTTTTCAACTTTTATTTTAAAATCGAGGGTACACACGCAGGTTTGTTACAGAGGTATATCATGTGATGCTGAGATACGGAGTACAAATGAATCCATCACCCAGGTAGTGAGTAGGTAATAGGTAGTTTTTTTAACCCTTCCCCCTCCCTCCCATAATCTAGTAGTCCCCAATGTCTATTGTTCCCACCTTTGTCTTCATATGTACCCAATGTTTAGTTCCTACTTATGAGTGACAACATGAAGTATTTGGTTTTCTGTTTTTGTGCTAGTTCACTTAGGATAATGGTTTCAAGCTGCATCTATGTTTCTGCGAATGACATGATTTCATTCTATTCTGTGGCTGCATAGTATTCCATGGTGTATATGTACTTTTGTTTTCAAAGCAGGAGAAAGTTTATTAAAAAGCTTTAGAACAGTAAGGAAGGAAAAGGAAAGGAGGAAAAAGAAGGAAAGTACAACTTGGAAGGGGGCCAAGCAGGTGACTTGAGAAACCAAGTGTGCCAATGTACATTTTTAAAAATCCAATCCACCTGGGTTGATTCCATGTCTTCCCAGCAAGTCTTTGAAGTAGGAAGCCAAAAGGTTCTCTGAGCTCACTGTCAGTGTGAGATTCCAAGCCTTCATGGGAAATTCCTTGTGGCTACTTTCCTCAGAGCTGCCTTCACATCCTTGTTTCTCAGGCTATAGATGAGGGGATTAAGCATGGGAGTCACTATTGCATAGAAAACAGACACCGATTTTTCCTGCTGTTTGGAAGACTTGGGTGTCATGTAAGTGATAATTGCTGATCCATAAAAAAGTATGACCACCATGAGGTGGGAGCCACAGGTAGAAAATGCCTTGAGACTCCCCACAGTTGACTTCATCTTGACCACAGTTACTATGATACGGCCATAGGATACCAGAATCAGAAAAACAGGTATGAGGAGAATCACAACCCCCATAAGAAAAATGGCCATCTCTGATGCATGGGTGTCTGTGGATGCTAAGATCAATAGTGCAGGGGCCTCACAAAAGAAATGAGCAATGCTGTTACTGCCTCGGTAGGGTAGCCTCAGTATGAAGGTGGTGTCTACCACAGACACCAGAATGCCACTGGTCCATGATCCTGTTGCCAGCTGGACACACACTTTCCAGGTCATGATGTTAGGGTAACGCAGAGGATTGCAGATTGCAACATAGCGATCATAGGACATCACTGCAAGAAGGGCGCACTGGGTACACCCAAAAATGAGGAAAAAGAGAAGTCGAGCTGCGCAAAGTGTGAATGCAATGACCTTCTTTCTGGAAAGCAGGTGGACTAGTGCCTGAGGAACTATGTTGGTAGAGAAACAGAGGTCAGCCAGAGACAAGTTGCAGAGAAAAAAATACATGGGTGTGTGAAGTTGGGAGTCAACATGAACAAGGGAGATTAGAAGCAGATTTCCAAGCACAGTGACCAGGTAGACACCCAATAATACGATAAATAGCAGCTGCTCGGTGTGTGGCCCATCAGAGAGTCCCAGAAGGAGGAATTCTGTCACTTGTGTCTGATTTATCTGTCTCATAGTTTGTTGTCCTTTTCAGTAAGAAGTCACTATGTGCTAACCATAGACAGGCATACCTATAAAATTATATAATTCAGAAGTGCAGGCTTAGGAACTGCCCCAATTTCTACTGAAAATTTCAAGAACCCCCTTCATAAGATGATCATGTTTCTTTCATTGGAACATTTTCAGTGTTGTAAAACAAACTTTAAAAGATGTTGCATTCATTGTTGATGTCATCTGGCAAGAATAGATTTTTAAAATTATTTTTCTCACTCTGAATACCACACTTTTAATAATACAATATTAAATACAGACTGAGTTCATCTATAAAGTCCTGCCATTTAATTTCTGTTTGTTCTTAACTAAAACCCCTGAGTCGTAAGTGCTCTTGTCACATCTCCTCTTCCCCGCTTATGATAATATAGTTTTCTGTTGTATTTTCCGTGAAAGGACAGACACGAAGGTATAAGAAATCAGAAAGAGCCAAAGTACTGGTATGTTTTATTTAAGAAACTAACCTGTCTTACAGGAGCTGGGAAACCAAAGATTAACTCAGGATACCCTTGGGAATCCTATCTGAAGCCTCAGCTTGAGTTCTGTTCAGTCTCAACTGTGAATGAACTTCCAACATAACAGACACACCATCAAAACAGAATTTTCATTTTAAGCCACCAGCGTGACTAGTTTCATACTCAGCCCAAACAGCACTACTCCCCAGCTCTCTCTGCTAAAAATTATATGCATTATCTGTCCACTCCCCCCGCAAAAGTAAAAGTTCCTTTGAAAATAGTTTCCATGTCTTTTTCACCTCTGTGTCCTTTACGAGTCATAGCAGAGAACTTCATTTCATAAATGACCATAATTCATTAAACAAATAATAATTTGATCACATAGTTAAGCAGAGTCATTTAGAAGTTTTGCCAATATCCCTAGAGAGATTTGAAATAATAATCCAATTTTGTGGAGCTGTTCCAAAAAGAAGGGAAATAAATTTACTTTAAAGTGTAAAGTTTAAGATCCTATACACGGGTTGGGCTATCAATCCTTTAACTGTCTGGTGAAAGTATCTCAGAATAACGTTTTAAATACATCAAATAAAATGTATAGGATTACTAAGGAAACCAGTTATATCAAAATACAGTTATCGAAATAATTTTAGAAAACAGATTTGTAAACAGCAATATATGTGCTTCTTTATTAATACACTAAAATTTTGAAATGTAGTGGTGGGTCTAATAACCATCTTCATTTCAAAATAATGATGAGTTTAAATATTTGGAGATCTCTCCAACAACTGCAATACAATATAAAAATTCTTATAATTACTACTGCTGACAAAGTCATAAATACTTCTAATATTGGTGTGGGTTGGTTACTTGCATTCAAATTGGAAGGAAACATCAACTTTCAGTTAGGGGAAAATAAAAATAAAGAAGTAACATTTTACTCCAAGTTGCAGAACTCACTTGGGTTACAGGAATCCCCAGGAGATTTCTTAAAAAAAAAAAAAAGACATAATTACACCCTACATAATCTAGTAACAGAGTCTCAGCATCTGGATTGGTCTGTGAGTCAAAGAAATGAAAGATTTCAATTCCTAATTGGTCTTCAGACTAAAGTTGGAATTTGGCATTGGGAGGAAGGTCCCTTTGCACTTCTACTTAACTGTTTGGTGCTTTAGATTTTTAGCATTGCTCCCTGCTCACTTTGCAGGCAGAAGGCCTTAAGCAAACAGCTCAGTCCAACATGCATCACCTGTATGACAAAATCCAATTTATAACCCTTCCACCTTTGCCCACTACTGGTAAGCCATGGACTCTACACTCCTTTCCTCACTTCCTGGGATTTCTCCTGCAACATCTTTTCTCCAGACAGGAATGTAGCTGTCCTGGGCCAAAGTTACCACTAACAACCAATCTGGGAAAAGTTTGACCTAATTTCTTTTCTCTTCTCCACTTTTATTTTAACCACCAGAGGAAGAAGCCTGAAAACAATTTCACCTTACTGTTTTACTTTACAATGTACAGATTAATTACTTAAAAGGTTCTTTTTTAACTCAAAATACAGATTATTCTTTATGTTATTCTCCTCTTTTACACATCTAGGAAAATCTGTCAAAACAAAAACAGTCTCATATCAAATCATATAAATGTAATGGTTACACAATATTACCATTATATCAGGTAAATGGAGGTGTGGATGTTGATTCAATGGTAAAATAAAAACCAGTGCCACCAAACTCTAAAATCTTTGAAAGGATAAAAGCCTCTTACCTAATCCTTAAAAGGAACTCTATATTCCTCCTCAGTTTTGAAGATAAGTTACTTAATTTTAACATTTTGTTTGCTTAATTGTATTTTAAATATACATCAAATATATATTTTTCAGAACAAAAGAAAAAAATTAATAAATTGGACATCATCAAAATTAAAAATGTTTGTGCTTCAAAAGACACCATTAAGGAAGTGAAAAGACAACCCACAGAGTGGGAGAAAATTTTTGCAAATTCTGTATCTGATAAGGGACTTATATTTAGAATATATAAGAAACATAACCTGGTAATAAAAAGGCCAATAATATAATTAATAACTGGGCAAAGAATCTAAATAGACATTGTTTCCAGAAGAGGTATGCAAATGGCCAGTAGGCACATGAAAATATGTTGAATGTCATTAGCCATAAAGGAAATGCAAACCAAAACCACAATAGCATACAACTTTACACCTACTAGGATGGCTAGCAGGTTACCATATGAATCAGCCATCCCACCAGTAGGTATATACCCAAGAGAACTGAAAGCATATGTTGCACACAAAAACTTATACATGAATGTTTATGGCAACATTATTCATAATACTCAAAAAGTGCAGTGATCCAAAGACAAAAAGTGAAATGTCTTTGAATATATAAAGAAAAGGTGATATATCAGCTGGGTGTGGTGGCTCACGCCTGTAATCCCAGTACATTGAGAGACTAAGGCAGGTGTATCACTTAAGGTCAGGAGTTCGAGGCCAGCCTGGCCAATGTGGTGAAACCCCGTCTCTACTAAAAATACAAAAATTAGCTGGGCATCATGGCACATGCCTATAGTCCCAAATAGTTGGGAGGCTGAGGCAGAAGAATCATTTGAACAGGGTAGGCAGAGGTTGCAGTGAGCTGAGATCACTCCACTGCACTTCAGTCCATGTGAGAGAGAGAGACCCCACCTCAAAAACAAACAAACAAACAAACAAACAAACAAAACGGTGATATATCCATATAAAGGATTGAACATGGTACAACATGAATAAACCTTAAAAACATTATATTAAGTGAAAAAAGTAGTCACAAAGGATGACATATTGCATGATTTCATTTATATTAAATGTCAAGAACAGGCAAATCTATAGAGAAAGAAAGTAGATTGGTTGTTGCCTAGGGCTGGGGTTATAGGAGGACTGGATGATGATGACTAAGGAATGTATGGTTTCTTTTTGGAGTAACGAAAAACTTCTAAAATTGATTGTGGTGATGGTTGCATAACTTTGTGAATATTCTAAAAGCCATTGAATTATACACTTTAAATGGTAAGTTGTGTGGTGTGTCCAACATGCATCGCCCAAATGTATGGTAATAGTAAGTCTCTTTCCAAACACCCTCAAGCCCAATACCCTTTCCATTAGTAACCATAGATCACAGGTTGGTATACATCTTTCCAGATGTCTATTAATTCAAATTAATACACACACACAACACACAAACACAAATGCATATGTGTATGTACATGAGTATGCACACTTTTGTAGTTAACATATGATTTAATGACTTAATTTTCCCAACAATCGCTATTATCTTGGAGACACTTCTTGACCAATATATATAGCTATACCTATGTCTTGCTATTGATTTCATTATATTCCACACTACAGTTTAACTACAGTTAAACTACAGTTAAACCAAAACTTAGTTAACTATTCTCTTATTGATGAACATTAATATTGGGGCCAATTTATGCTACCACAAACAATTATGTTATGAACATTCCTATACATATATTGTTTTTCACTGTTACCAATATATCTGTTAAGGTAAACTACAAACATTCGAATTGCTAGGTACGAGCTTTATCCAAGATGGAATATATAAGGGTAGGCATATCTTTACTTTTGATAGATGCTGCCAATATCTAAAAACTGTAGTGCCTAGCAGTTATAGAAGTGCCTACCTTTATTTCAAGGGAAATCAACTCATTCAATAACTGATAAATAAAACATAATTATGAATAATTACATCTCTGCTTGAT
Source organism: Homo sapiens (assembly GCF_000001405.40). Taxonomy (NCBI): domain Eukaryota; kingdom Metazoa; phylum Chordata; class Mammalia; order Primates; family Hominidae; genus Homo; species Homo sapiens. Next base: position 6,896,765 of record NC_000011.10, read on the forward strand.
GATTACTTACGGCCCCACACTGAATATAGATAAATTCCACCCTCCCGTATCCATCTGCAGGCAACCTTACCAGCCTTATCCCATACCAACTAACTAGAACACACTGCATTTTTACACCCCACTGTTTTTTGCTCCGCATAGTCCCTCTACTCAAAGACATGCCCACTAAATCAAGGTATCATTACTTTCCTTGGGCACCCATCATACTTTGAATATTCAATCAATCTTATTTTTTGAGCAAATACTGTGTACCAAGCATATGCTAAAGACTGGGGATACAGACTGAAAACCCAGTTCCTAACACTAAAGAACTCCAGAGGGGAGGGGCCAAATTGTTTCATCCCCAGTGCCTACAGTGGTCCTTGGAATATCATAGATTCACAGCCAATATTGGTTTAAGGAATCTATATAATCTATCACATCAAACTAATAGAGAATTGCTTCTAAAGAGAAAAATAGTGTATTATCAAAACAGCTGATATAAAAATAAATTTCGAGAATACAGGTAATTTAAACATTGCTACATTTTGAATTGCCGTCCATCTGGTGGAAGGTGCTACCTGGTTAGTTCTTAGAGGCTCCGGGATTTGGTTCAGCTCAGGATCTTTAGACTCAGTACTCTTTCTGCCACAATTTTCACTCTTCTTAGAGTAGAATTTTTTTTTTTTTTTAGAATTTGATTACAACTGTATCAATAATGTATCTAAATCTCAAGGAAAATTAAATGATAGACAAACAATCTTTCTCAGTTTTGACAAAAGAAGATATTGAGCATAAAACTAAGCATTCTTCACAAAATTTAAAGTGATGACTACAATCAGTGGTTAATTTAATGAAAGTGAAGTTACAGGATATTGCTATGATTTCTATCCCTTCTTCATCTGGCTCATAACCATAGCCAGACGAATTTTTTAAGATTCTGTCTAGGAAAAATATACTCCAGAAACAATCCCACAAACTTTCCCTATTCCTACCTCCAATACACACGGACATACACACACCAATACACACACTCACAAACAACTAATCTATCTTAGATGCACAAGTATACCTACAGCATCTTGTACTTACCTCCATCACAGCTCTTAACAAATTATATTAAAATTATTTGTCTTTCTCTGTGACTGTAAGATAGTCAAGGGTAGAGATCACATCTGAATCATCTTTATTCACAGAAAATAAGAGCAGTCATCATACATTATAAGTGTCCAACACATGTTTCTTGAACTGATTTGACCTGAGCCAAAGTAGCAAGAGACAGAGAGGGGAATGTAAGGAAGAGATGAGTGTGATTTATGACTTGTCAGATGCTAGGAGTTCTCACTGACCCTGGGATTATGCACTAGAAGGCAGCACGCCAATCTCTCCTGATTTTTCTTTAAAAATGTTATTCTCCCATGCAAATGTAGAGGACGAAATGTTCCTCCAGGTGACATTGAATCTGCTCCCAGGGTCAAGAAGCTCCTATAAGAAAATCATGTTCACTGTCAACCTTTCTGCCATTTCATTTTACTTTTTTTCTAGATTTAACATACATTTGTGAGTTCATTTCTATAAAAATAAAATATGTCACTGGATATGGAAAAGGAAGACAGGGTCACAGAAACATGCATTATCTAACCTGATGTGAATTTTAGGAAGAAGAGACTGAGTAAACCCCTAAGGCACCAAGAGAAAACTACTAAATTTCTCTTCTGATTCCAAGATCCTTCACACTTAAAATCCTCTATTCCTTATCATCCATACCTATTTACTTTCTTCCAAATCAAGTTCAACAAGGCAAGAAAACACTACCCAAAGGAACAATACTGACTCCATGAAAATTCTGCCTATATCTACATAAGGTGAGTGTCAGGATTCTTCTTCTCAGGTAATTTTGCATTGTAATTGTGGTTTGATAAGGTAGATCCACTGTGGAATAAAACCTTGGCTAAATCTATTACAGAAGATTTAGCTCTATGAATCAGATTATTTGGACAAAATTAGTTGAATTTTAAAAACCAAATCTATGACAATGTTAAAACCAATTCACTCCCAATATATCAGTTATCCCTTCTTTGTTCATCTCATGCTTTATCTTCCCCCACCCTCTAATAATCTTACCAATATTTTGTCCTATGATGGAGAAAGATCAAATTGGCATGGAAAGCCAATAAAGACACTCCACTATTGATGGGAAAGTGCTTCAGGTGCACTGGAGGCAGCATGGGCAGAACACGGACAGCAGGGATATTTTCATAAAAGCAAAGGGCTCAGTAGAATCTCCAAAGTCAAGAACAAAGCAGGAAGGGGAATCCCCACAACTCCCATGTCCTTCTGCTCCAGCCAAAGGTCTTATCATGGACTTCACAGTATATTGTGCAACAATAGTTCAATTTAAATGAGGTGAACAGCAGGGATACTAGAAGCAGTCTCTGGAGCAGGTGAAGTGCTCAGGTGAATTCTGAATCATTAGGGGGGATCTTGAGCTGTGCTTCCTCTCAGAAGGTTCCCAAATGGTTATAAGGAGGGCAGAAAATAACATGCAGTTAGCAGTCACATCTCTGTTTACAGGTCCCATCATGAATTCTTACATGTCTTCTCTTTGGAGAAGCATTGTATTGTTGCAATTAAGTATTTGGTTTCTGAAGGAAAAAATACTAGGTTGCAACTTAAGTCTACTCCATACACCGTATAATTTTGAGAAAGTTCATCATTTGTAGATTATGAATGTGATGTGACCTAGATAATAATAATTAGATGAATGTGATTAACATAATGTATTCATGTAGTAAGAAGTCAATAAATACTCTCTCTGATTATTATAACTAGGGCTACCGGATTGAGATTATAAATAGGTATCTGAGTTTTGGCATTGTTCAGGAAATGTATTATACAGAAATGAATCCTAAATTGCCCAGAAAGAAGAGAGGCTGAAAAACCTTCAAGTACTCTGATTAGCTTTTTAAAATTCCTCCAAAGAGTATCTGAAGCCGTGTTGGGCATGAGTGGAGGGAGTGGAGATGAGGGTCTGAAAAGAAGAGAGCCTCTGGCAGAAACCCCACTCTTTCAGTTGCAACTCCTGAATGACTATCCTAAGACAAAAAGCCAACTGAACATGGACCAGCTCTCACAAAACATGATTGAATAGGATATTCTATCAGGTCAAGTTTGTCAATGGATGGTTAAAAATCTTCATATCTTTACTGATTTTTCTGTCAGTTTGTTTTCAAAGTTACAAAGGGAAGTTCATCAAAATACATGTGTAAATTTTATATTTGGTAAACTTTTGTTATTTTATAATTTTGTATTTAAAAATAATTTCAAATTTTCAAAAAAGTTAAAATTGTACAAAACTCCCATACCTCTCTTACTCCTATTCTCCAATTATTATTTTGTCACATTTTTATCATTTGTCTGTATTTACAAACATATCATTTTAAGAACTTGATAGTAAGCTATAGGTGTGATCCCCAGAATATAATGAACTACTAAAAATGAATAAGAAAAGTTGGAAATTTCCAGTTTTTTAAAATGGGCAGAAGACTTGAACAAGCACTTTCAATATAGGAGATAAAAATAACTAATAAGCACATGAAAAGGTGTGCAACATAATTAGCCCTCAGGGCATATAAACAAAAACCATAGTGAAATTCCACTAATCCTCATCAAAAAGGATAAAATGACTGAGCAATTTACATTGCTTATGGGAGCATAAATTCTTAGAGTCAATTTTAAAATTCCATTTGGAAGTATCTTTGAATACAGAGCTAAACATGCCTTCCCTATGACTCAGTAATTCCACTCCTGAGCATATACCTAACAGAGATGAGTGTTTACATCCACCAAGAATGTATATAAAGATGTTTATAACAGCTTTATTCATACTACCTCACACTGGAAACTATAAATTTATATGGGCAATAGAAAAGATAAATTTTGGTACAGTCATGCAGTGGAATACTATCAAATAATTTAAAATAAATGAACTACTGCTACAAATAACCATATAGATGAATCTCACACAGTGATGTTTTAGTAAACAAAGCCAGGTGGCACTGTTGCAAAAAATAAAAGACTAATAAACAAATAGAAGAGAATGAAGACCTCATAGATTGACCCATGTGGAAATCGAATATACAATGAAGTTCAGTCCAAAAATCATCACGGAAGGGAAAATAGTTTATTAAATAATGTTAGTAAAGTGGGTTTACTACATAGAGAAAAATAAAGCTGGACTCCTACCTAACATGATAGAAGAAGGTAAACTGTAAATGAATTAAATATCTAAAAGTTGCAAGAGAACAATGACACAATTGAATAAAACATAGAACATCTTTCTGACCTAGAGTGAGAAGCTTCTAAAGCACAAACCATAATAATAATTTTGATAATGTGATTTCATAAAAATCTGATATTTGTCTTCAATGAAGGACATCATAGACAAAACTAAAAGGCAGATGAGAGAATCGATAAGATATTTGCACTCTTTAAAACCAAAAAGAAATAAAAATCTAATACCAGGAATTTACAATAAACTTCTAAAAACCAATAAAAGAGGAAGAAACCTCCAAAAGAAAAAAAGAGCAGAGGTAATAAAAAGGGAATTTATTAAAAAGTAACTTCATTGGGCTACAAGAATATAAAGCAATACTCAAATTCATCAATAATCAAAGGTATGCAAATTAGAGCAACAAAGATATATCTAATAGGCATGCAGATATTCAGAAGTCAGATACTGTAAAGTGTTGACAAAAAAGTAGAATATAACACTCATTTACAGTTGGGAAAGATGTAGAGAAATGTAGCCACCCTGGAAAGGAATCTGGCAATTACTTGGTCACCTTATACTTGCTTATTCTGTTACAGTCACTATTGTTAAAGATAGAGCCAAAAAATTTGTGTTGCAGACATATATGGTACACTCCTGAAATGTTTGTTGGTCTGTTGTTTGTGTTGGTGAGGTGTTGTGTAATTTGGATATTACTTTACTCACCGGGAGAGAAGATGAATGAAAGTGTGACAGATGTATACCAAAGAAGATCCCACAGCAGTTAGAAAGAGATTAGATACACACGTGCAACTTGAATGATCTTAAAGACAGAGGTGGATGGAAAAGTGAGAAACAAAGAGGCATATAGCAAAATATCATTTATGTAAATTAAGAATACAGGCGCAAAAATGTCATTTTTCAAAAACAAAATAAAAGTATTGCATACCTTAGAATGGTTACAGGATCAGTAGGAATCAAGTTTGGGTGTAAATTAAGCAAAAAAAAAAAAACAGTAAATAAATAAATAACAAGAGAGGGGCTTTGAAATGACTTTGAATGCACAGCAATGTGTCATATACTGAGGTATTATTATTCACTCATTCCTCTGCATCTGATAATCAAACAAACAAACAACAACAACAAGAGTAATGAAGAGAAATTAAGATTGCATGATATTTGTATGGAAATATAAAGTCAGAAAAGGAACAGATTACAGGAAACAAAAATAGACTGAATCCAGCAGAAGTTTAGTATCTTGTATAAAACACATTTAAAATCACTGAGACATTTTCCCATAAGTGGTACTAACAGAGCATTTTAGGAAAACATCTAAGGTGGATTTCTATCTTACTCATTACATCAAAACAAATTTTAGATGCATAAAGAGGTAAATGAAGCCATATATGTAAGTAACCTAGGAAAATCTTAGAAGAAAAAAATGGGTGGTTTTTAAACAGCATAACTTTTAAAAACAGAAGCCTTTCAAATATTAACAAAAAATCATAAGGGTAAAGACTTCTTGATTTGCTTAGATTAAATTATAAAATATACATGTGATGCAAAAATACAGAAAGTCAACTGGAAAAATACAAAACAACTTATTTCCAAGGTAAAATCAAAGAGCTATTTTTTTTTCATGTTATTCAAGGATTTTTCAAAGCACTAAAGGAAAGTTGAACAGCCCAATTTAAAAAAAATGAACAAAGAAAATAACCAGTCACTTCACAGAAAACAGAAATGAAAATGACCAGCAAACATAGAATATTATACGCATCCTCAAGTATAAAGTATCACATAATATAACAATGAGATGCCATTTTTACATAAAAGACTAGTGAAATTAAAGAGTTTGAAAATATCAAATGTTAGTAAAGATATAACTAAATAGAACCTGTCTTTGATGGGAGTGTAAATTAATGCAACCTTTTAATAGGGAAGTTGGCAATCTATTGATATTTAAAAGAAATATATCTTTAGACCCAGAAATTAAGCCTCAAGAAACTTTTCCTTCATGTATGTCTGACAAGGGCACAAGCATGCATATTTAAAGACGTTCACTGTGGCACTGTTTTAATGTCTAAAGATTAAAAATAACCTTTGTTAGTCCATTTACATTGCTATAAAAGAACACCTGAGGCTGGGTAATTTATAAAGAAAATAAATTTGTTTTGGCTCACGGTTCTGCAGGATGTACAGGAAGCATGGCACCATCATCTATCTGCTCCTGGTGAGGGCCTCAAAAAGCTTCCACTCAAGGCAGAAGAGGGAGGAAGCATGTCATAAAGGGAGATAAGGAGCAAGAGAGAGTGGGGAGGCAACGTCAACTCAGAGTGAGAACTCACTCATTATGCGGAGGAGGGCACCAAGCTATTCATGAGGAATCAGCCTCCATGACTCAAACATCTCCCATCAGGCCCCATCTCCAATATTGGGGATTACATTTCAACATGTGATTTGGAGGGGACAAAACAGCCAGACCACATCATAACACAAGTGTCCACTAATATGGATTAATAGACACTTGGGTAATATTATGGACTATAGCTCAATTATTTTAATGAGTTAGGTTTATATGTGCTATGAAACCAAAAATAAGCTGCAAATAATGTATGAGCCAAGTTACAAAACCAATAAAACAAGAAGATTCAAATTAATAACATCTACTTAATGTGATGAGTGATGTTTTGCTGAAACTAAATTGCCATTTGAAATATGATTGAGAGATTGACTTCAGACCATTTTTTTGAACCTCACATGGCTATACTACCATCTAACTCAGGTCTTCCACCATTTTTCTCTTACATCTTTTGGCCTTTAGAGCAGCAGTCCCCAACCTTTTTGGCACCAGGGACTGGTTTTGTGAAAGGCAATTTTTCTACAATGAACTGGTGAGAATGGTTTCAGGATGACTCAAGTGCGTTATATTTGTTGTGTACTTTATATTATTATTATGTTGTAAGATATAATTAATTATACAACTCACCATAATGTAAAATCAGTGGGAGCCCTGAGGTTGTTTTCCTGCAACTAGACAGTCCTATCTGGGGGTTATGGGAGACAGTGACAGAGCATTAGGCATTAGATTCTCATAAGAAGCATGCAGCCTAGATCCCTCACATGTGCAGTTCACAATAGGACTCATGCTTCTATAAGAATCTAATGCCGCCGTTGATCTGACAAGAGCCCGAGCTCAGGTGGTTATGTGAGCGATGGGGAATAGCTGTGAATACAGATGAAGCTTTGCTTGCTCAACTCCTGCTGTGCAGCCCAGTTCCTAACAGGCCAGGAATTGGTACCAGTCCATGCCCCATGGACTGGGGACCCCTGCGTTAGAGGATATGGATGTAATATTTAGATATAAAATTTGCCTTTGTTTTGAATGTTATTAGCTAGAGAGAATTATAGGAATAATTCCATTTTGATGAGGTCAAAGCAAGTTCTTGATTTAATGGTTTAACAAACTGAAGTCTCATTCTACAAAACTGTACTTTGATGTGAATTATCCCCTCAAAAGAAAAGCTCTAACTTTATGTCCAGTAAAAGCATGCAACTTTATTATAAGAACACATTTGGAGGGTGGAGCCAAGATGGCCGAATAGGAACAGCTCCAGTCTACAGCTTCCAGCGTGAGCGATGCAGAAGATGGTGATTTCTGCATTTCCAACTGAGGTACCAGGTTCATCTCACTGGGGAGTGCCAGACAGTGGGTGCAGGACAGTGGGTGCAGCGCACCGTGCATGAGCGGAAGCAGGGCGAGGCATCGCCTCACCCGGGAAGCGCAAGAGGTCAGGGAATTCCCTTTCCTAGTCAAAGAAAGGGGTGACAGATGGCACCTGGAAAATCGGGTCACTCCCACCCTAATACTGCGCTTTCCCAACAGGCTTAACAAATGGCACATGAGGAGATTATATTCTGCACCTGGATCGAAGGGTCCTACGCCCACGGAGCCTCGCTCATTGCTAGCACAGCAGTCTGAGATCAAACTGCAAGGCGGCAGCGAGGCTGCAGGAGGGGCGCCCGCCATTCTCGAGGCTTGAATAGGTAAACAAAGTGGCAGGGAACCTCGAACTGGGTGGAGCCCACCACAGCTCAATGAGGCCTGCCTGCCTCTGTAGGCTCCACCTCTGGGGGCAGGGCACAGACAAACAAAAGGCAGCAGTAACCTCTGCAGACTTAAATGTCGCTGTCTGATAGCTTTGAAGAGAGTAGTGGTTCTCCCAGCACACAGCTTGAGATCTGACAACGGGCAGACTGCCTCCTCAAGTGGGTCCCTGATCCCCAAGTAGCCTAACTGGGAGGCACCCCCAAGTAGGGGCGGACTGACACCTCACATGGCTGGGTACTCCTCTGAGACAAAACTTCCAGAGGAACGATCAAGCAGCAGCATTTGCGGTTCACCAATATCCGCTGTTATGCAGCCACCGCTGCTGATATCCAGGCAAACAGGGTCTGGAGTGGACCTCCAGCAAACTCCAACAGACCTGCAGCTGAGGGTCCTGTCTGTTAGAAGGAAAACTAACAAACAGAAAGGACATCCACACCAAAAACCCATCTGTACGTCACCATCATCAAAGACCAAAGGTAGATAAAACGACAAAGATGGGGAAAAAACAGAGCAGAAAAACCGGAAACTCTAACAATCAGAGTGCCTCTCCTCCTCCAAAGGAACACAGCTCCTCACAAGCAACAGAACAAAGCTGGACAGACAATGACTTTGATCAGTTGAGGGAAGAAGCCTTCAGAAGATCAAACTACTATGAGCTAAAGGAGGAAGTTCGAACCAATGGCAAAGAAGTTAAAAACCTTGAAAAAAAATTAGACGAATGGATAACTAGAATAACCAATGCAGAGAAGTCCTTAAAGGACCTGATGGAACTGAAATCCAAGGCACGAGAACTACGTGACGAATGCACAAGCCTCAGTAGCCGATGCGATCAACTGGAAGAAAGGGTATCAGCGATGGAAGATGAAATGAATGAAATGAAGCGAGAAGAGAAGTTTAGAGAAAAAAGAACAGAAAGAAATGAACAAAGCCTCCAAGAAATATGGGACTATGTGAAAAGACCAAATCTACATCTGATTGGTGTACCTGAAAGCGACGGGGAGAATGGAACCAAGTTGGAAAACACTCTGCAGGATATTATCCAGGAGAACTTCCCCAATCTAGCAAGCCAGGCCAACATTCAGATTCAGGAAATACAGAGAACGCCACAAAGATACTCCTCAAGAAGAGCAACTCCAAGACACATAATTGTCAGATTCACCAAAATTGAAATGAAGGAAAAAATGTTAAGGGCAGCCAGAGAGAAAGGTCGGGTTACCCACAAAGGGAAGCCCATCAGACTAACAGCTGATCTCTCGGCAGAAACTCTACAAGCCAGAAGAGAGTGGGGGCCAATATTCAACATTCTTAAACAAAAGAATTTTCAACCCAGAATTTCATATCCAGCCAAACTAAGCTTCATACGTGAAGGAGAAATAAAATACTTTACAGACAAGCAAATGCTGAGAGATTTTGTCACCACCAGGCCTGCCCTAAAAGAGCTCCTGAAGGAAGCACTAAACATGGAAAGGAACAACCGGTACCAACCACTGCAAAAACATGCCAAATTGTAAAGACCATCGAGGCTAGGAAGAAACTGCATCAACTAACAAGCAAAATAACCAGCTAACATCATAATGACAGGATCAAATTCACATATAACAATATTAACTTTACATGTAAATGGGCTAAATGCTCCAATTAAAAGACACAGACTGGCAAATTGGATAAAGAGTCAAGACCCATCAGTGTGCTGTATTCAGGAAACCCATCTCATGTGCAGAGACACACATAGGCTCAAAATAAAGGAATCAAGATCTACCAAGCAAATGGAAAACAAAAAAAGGCAGGGGTTGCAATCCTAGTCTCTGATAAAACAGACTTTAAACCAACAAAGATCAAAAGAGACAAGGCCATTACACAATGGTAAAGGGATCAATTCAACAAGAAGAACTAACTAACCTAAATATATATGCACTCAATACAGGAGTACCCAGATTCCTAAAGCAAGTCCTTAGTGACCTACAAAGAGACTTAGACTCCCACACAATAATAATGGGAGACTTTAACACCCCACTGTCAACATTAGACAGATCAACGAGACAGAAAGTTAACAACGATATCCAGGAATTGAACTCAGCTCTGCACCAAGCAGACCTAATAGACATCTACAGAACTCTCCACCCCAAATCAACAGAATATACATTATTTTCAACACCACACCACACCTATTCCAAAATTGACCACATAGTTGGAAGTAAAGCACTCCTCAGCAAATGTAAAAGAACAGAAATTATAACAAACCGTCTCTCAGACCACAGTGCAATCAAACTAGAACTCAGGATTAAGAAACTCACTCAAAACTGCTCAACTACATGGGAACTGAACAACCTGCTCCTGAATGACTACTGGGTACATAACGAAATGAAGGCAGAAATAAAGATGTTCTTTGAAACCAACGAGAACAAAGACGCAACATACCAAAATCTCTGGGACACATTCAAAGCAGTGTGTAAAGGGATTTACAGCACTAAATGCCCACAAGAGAAAGCAGGAAAGATCTAAAATTGACACCCTAACATCACAATTAAAAGAACTAGAGGAGCAAGAGCAAACACATTCAAAAGCTAGCAGAAGGCAAGAAATAACTAAGATCAGAGCAGAACTGAAGGAAATAGAGACACAAAAAACCCTTCAAAAAATCAATGAATCCAGGAGCTGGTTTTGTGAAAAGATCAACAAAATTGATAGACTGCTAGCAAGACTAATAAAGAAGAAAAGAGAGAAGAATCAAATAGACACAATAAAAAATGACAAAGGGAATATCACCACCGATCCCACAGAAATACAAACTACCATCAGAGAATACTATAAACACCTCTACGCAAACAAACTAGAAAATCTAGAAGAAATGGATAAATTCCTTGACACATACACCCTCCCAAGACTAAACCAGGAAGAAGTTGAATCTCTGAATAGACCAATAACAGGCTCTGAAATTGAGGCAATAATTAATAGGTTACCAACCAAAAAAAGTCCAGGACCAGATGGATTCACAGCCGAATTCTACCAGAGGTACAAGGAGGAGCTGGTACCATTCCTTCTGAAACTATTCCAATCAATAGAAAAAGGGGGAATCCTCCCTAACTCATTTTATGAGGCCAGCATCATCCTGATACCAAAGCCTGGCAGAGACACACAAAAAAAGAGAATTTTAGACCAATATCCTTGATGAACATTGATGCAAAAATCCTCAATAAAATACTGGCAAACCAAATCCAGCAGCATATCAAAAAGCTTATTCATCATGATCAAGTGGGCTTCATCCCTCGGATGCAAGGCTGGTTCGACATATGAAAATCAATAAACATAATCCAGCACATAAACAGAACCAAAGACAAAAACCACATGATTATCTCAATAGATGCAGAAAAGGCCTTTGACAAAATTCAACAACCCTTCATACTAAAAACTCTCAATAAATTAGGTATTGATGGGACATATCTCAAAATAATAAGAGCTATCTATGACAAACCCACAGCCAATATCATACTGAATGGACAAAAACTGGAAGCATTCCCTTTGAAAACTGGCACAAGACAGGGATGCCGTCTCTCAACATTCCTATTCAAGATAGTGTTGGAAGTTCCAGCCAGGGAAATCAAGCAGGAGAAGGAAATAAAGGGCATTCAATTAGGAAAAGAGGAAGTCAAATTGTCCCTGTTTGCAGATGACATGATTGTATATCTAGAAAACCCCATCATCTCAGCCCAAAATCTCCTTAAGCTGATAAGCAACTTCAGCAAAGTCTCAGGATACAAAATCAATGTACAAAAATCACAAGCATTCTTATACACCAATAACAGACAAACAGAGAACCAAATCATGAGTGAACTCCCATTCACAATTGCTTCAAAGACAGTAAAATACCTAGGAATCCAACTTACAAGGGATGTGAAGGACCTCTTCAAGGAGAACTACAAACCACTGCTCAATGAAATAAAAGAGGATACAAACAAATGGAAGAACATTCTATGCTCATGGGTAGGAAGAATCAATATCGTGAAAATGGCCATACTGCCCAAGGTAATTTATAGATTCAATGCCATCCCCATCAGCTACCAATGACTTTCTTCACAGAATTGGAAAAAACTACTTTCAAGTTCATATGGAACCAAAAGAGCCTGCATTGCCAAGTCAATCCTAAGCCAAAAGAACAAAGCTAGAGGCATCACGCTACCTGACTTCAAACTATACTACAAGGCTACAGTAACCACAACAGCATGATATTGGTACCAAAACAGACATATAGACCAATGAAACAGAACAGAGCCCTCAGAAATAATGCTGCATATCTACAACTATCTGATCTTTGACAAACCCAACAAAAACAAGCAATGGGGAAAGGATTCCCTATTTAATAAATGGTGCTGGGAAAACTGGCTAGCCATATGTAGAAAGCTGAAACTGGATCCCTTCCTTACACCTTACACAAAGATTAATTCAAGATGGATTAAAGACTTAAACGTTAGACCTAAAACCATAAAAACCCTAGAAGAAAACCTAGGCATTACCATTCAGGACATAGGCATGGGCAAGGACTTCATGTCTAAAACACCAAAGCAATGGCAGCAAAAGCCAAAATTGACAAATGGGATCTAATTAAACTAAAGAGCTTCTGCACAGCAAAAGAAACTACCATCAGAGTGAACAGACAACCTACAGAATGGGAGAAAATTTTCGCAACCTACTCATCTGACAAAGGGCTAATATCCAGAATCTACAATGAACTCAAACAAATTTACAAGAAAAAAACAAACAACCCCATCAACAAGTGGGCGAAGGATATGAACAGACACTTCTCAAAAGAAGACATTTATGCAGCCAAAAAACACATGAAAAAATGCTCATCATCACTGGCCATCAAAGAAATGCAAATCAAAACCACAATGAGATACCATCTCACACCAGTTAGAATGGCGATCATTAAAAAGTCACGAAACAACAGGTGCTGGAGAGGATGTGGAGAAACAGGAACACTTTTACACTGTTGGTGGGACTGTAAACTAGTTCAACCATTGTGGAAGTCAGTGTGGTGATTCCTCAGGGATCTTGAACTAGAAATACCATTTGACCCAGCAATCTCATTACTGGGTATATACCTAAAGGATTATAAATCATGCTGCTGTAAAGACACATGCACACGTATGTTTATTGCGGCACTATTCACAATAGCAAAGACTTGGAACCAACCCAAATGTCCAACAATGATAGACTGGATTAAGAAAATGTGGCACATATACACCATGGAATACTATGCAGCCATAAAAAAGGATGAGTTCATGTCCTTTGTAGGGACATGGATGAAGCTGGAAACCATCATTCTCAGCAAACTATCACAAGGACAAAAAACCAAACACCGCATGTTCTCACTCATAGGTGGGAATTGAACAATGAGAACACATGGACACAGGAAGGGGAACATCACACACCAGGGACTGTTGTGGGGTGGGGCAGGGGGAGGGATAGCATTAGGAGATATACCTAATGCTAAATGACCAGTTAATGGGTGCAGCACACCAACATGGCACATGTATACATATGTAACAAACCTGCACATTGTGCACATGTACCCTAAAACTTAAAGTATAATAATAATAAAATTTAAAAAACCACACATTTAAAGCCTTCATTGTCATGTTTATATTAGGACGGTGCTAAGCAAATTATACTCCACTATGTAAGGTGGTCACACAGCACTCAAACAATCATGAACTGAAATGAAAGCACAGGCCTGAAATCAAGTTGGATTAGTCAATTAGAAAGTCAGCATCCAGGTGATCCAATACCTCCTCATTTTCATTTTTATTTAATTACCATATAAAGAAAGACACAAGTTTGAAAACTTATGAACCCCTGAGAATATATCTGTTGATGCCATTTTAAATGACAATGGTGTAAGGTTTGGAAGAAGCCTAAGTATGATTTAGAAACTTTAGTCTGTGGTTTCAAACATAATGCAAAGTGCCCCCCCAGGGTGTCTCAGAGGATGAAAAAAGGTAATAAAGTTGAGGGTTTTAAAAGCTCCAGGGAATGCCCTCTTGACGTAATTCTCAGGACCTCACTTTTAATTATTTTCTCAAAGAAAAATACGTTGTTCAGAAGTGTAACCTAGGTAAATTAGAATTTGTACCTTGAGCAAAGTAAAAAGGCTTGGAATGAAGTCAGACTCCTAGGATGACGCTAGTACAGGCCTTGGGAGGAATTGCTCAGGAGCCAACCTACAAACAGGTGAATGTCCTTGAAGTGTGGATCTGCAGACACAGAAGTTGCTCCCTTCCGTACTAGATCCTTGGTTCCTTCACCAGTGACCTCACAGTGCTGTTCCTGTTTTGTCTCTGCCCTCAGGTGAGAGAGAAGAAGCCACTGATAGGCCTCAAACTGTAGGATTCTCCAATACTGATTGGGGGTTGGAAGCGGGCAAGGTATTGGGAAGGTGAACTTTGTCATTTTATCGCTTACACATCAATTTTTCCCTTGCTAGATTCCCAGAGACAATTCAATTCCTACTCTTCTCCTCCAGAATCCCAGCCTGAAAACCCTCCTCCAGATCTTCTCCTTCATGGATAAGACTGTTTTCAGAGAGATCACAGAGGCTGTACCCTCCTACATTACTTTCCTCTTACTGTTGAAAAGTACCTCTGCCTGATTCTCCCCTGCCCTCGGCTGTCAGCCCTTCCGTCTTCATTGTCTCCCTCAGTTTGCATTTGTTCCACCATCTTCCCTAGTGTATGGCCCACTAAATAGGCAAAGAGCTGGAAGGACACTAGGAATCGTGCTTTCAGAAGCTTCATCAAGAGCTTGGTCATGCTCTGGGTCTAAGAGATATGAAAGAACCAAGATTGCATGAATACACTGTTGTAAGAATGCTGGCACTGCTGGCTCCAATCCCCTGGTGATCTAAGGCACATAGAGGAGAGTAGGTCCAATTACAATCAGTGCTGCCCTCCCAGAATGAGTAAGGATACCCACTACAGGTGCCATCACACATATACGCAATAAGCAAATATGCTTCCCATACAAGTCAGACAGAATAAGTTCCCACGTGACTCAGCCTTGGTCAGTATCCAGTTGGCTCAGTACCTCCTCTGATACTGTTTATTATGTGGAAGATTTGGTAGCCATGGGGATGCATAAAAAGAATATAAAATAATTGTGTGAGCGTATCTTGAATATCTGCATGTTCTATGAGATATTAAGTTTGTAAAGCTGAGAGGAAGTCCATGTGGCTTGGGATGTGTGTGTGTGACAAGGAAGAATTCCCTTGTGTGCAGCTCTGTGCCTGTGTGAGACTCTTAAGAGAAGATATCTGGCAAGGACATATTAATTAAAATGTTGTTAGGGCCTCAGAGAGATAACAGATTCATTTCTTGTCCTTTCAGTTTGGGGAAACAACCTGTCTTCCATCTCTCTTTCTGTACTCCTTTTCCTCTTTCTGCCTTCTCTCTACACCTCTGAATTCCTGACTTCTGTGTTCAGCTTCCCCTCCCTGATTTCTTCTAAAGTCTATTCTCTTTATTCTATTTTTACCAGTTATTTTTTCTTCTTCATTTTCTCTCTGCATTAGATAAAGAGATACCTTTGTTGAATTAATTAGGAAAGTTTACAAAGTTACATGAAATCTTCAGAGTGTGAAAGTATAATTATCCCTGGTCTTCCTTGGAATATGAGACTAAATTTCATCTTAGTCCTTTTGATTTATTTGACTCCTTTCCTGTTTTGAGATTAAGCCACATTCTTCCTAATCCACATATACACTCACATCCTGTCTTTGAGATATAGATAACCATTCCCTATATACTCTACCTGAATTCTAAGTTGTTATTGTGTGTTAAGAATTATTAGTGTGGTAAAGGTATTTTTTTAACAGTCATCTCTCACACACACGCTCTCATTCTCTTTCTCTACACACACACACACACACGCACGCACCATATATATAAATCATACCCATACACGCAATTTTGTAACCTACTTTTTAAATTCAACAGTATGTCAAACATCTTTCCATGGGAAATACATATCTACTTAAATTTTTAATGATAAAATTTATCATATTATCATCATAATAATAACCATCAACATTGCAGTCATTTCTTTACTGCAGTTTCTAGGCATAATGCAAATTTTCCACTAAGTTCTTAATTTAGTCTTTACATCTATATTATGAAGTTGTGGTTTTATGTTCATTTTACAAATTAGGAAACAGACAAAAAGGAGTTAAATTGTCTAAAGTTACAGAGCTAGGAAATAGGGAACAAAGATTCAACCAGGTATGTGTGACTAAGACGTCTGCACTCTTACCCACTTCTCTATACTGCATAGGTTCTATTATATAGGAAAACTATAATTTATTTAACGCAACACCTATTATTTGACTGTGGGTTGATTTAGTCTGGAAATAATTCTGGGTGTGAGTATCCTCTGAAACAAAGCTTTGTGCATACCTATAATTATTTCCAAAATATAAAGTCCTAAAACTTGAGCTGTTCAGGAAAAAAGAAAAGTTCATTTTATAATTTTTAAATATCTTCAAGTTGACTTGCAGAGAGATTTTATAAATGTACATGCCTACATTTTTCGTATCTGTTTGTTCTACTCTCAAAAATATAGTGGGTGATTTCAATCTATTTCATCTTTTCTAAAATGATGAGAAAGAAACAGTAACTACTTGTTTTATTTTACATTTCTCTGATTCTGAGTGAGGATGAACATTCTTTACATAGTTAGCTTTTTGGGTATTTGAATTTCTTTTATGAATTGCTCATTAACATTTCTTTTTCCATCCTTTCCATTGAGAAGTTCTTCCTATTCTTGATTTTTAAAGGCTCTTTGATGTGGTAGTTTTTCTATTTGTTACTTACATTTTACATATATGTGTTCTTTAACCATTCATTTAAAATAGTTGTATAATAAAATATACCAATCTTAAGTTAATGGTTATGGTTTTCATCATGTCCTTAGAAGGTCCTTTCCCACTCAAAGATTACAGAAAATAATTTAATCTTTACATCCATATTATGAAGTTGTGGTTTTACTTTCATTTTACAAATGGTTTTCA
Source organism: Homo sapiens (assembly GCF_000001405.40). Taxonomy (NCBI): domain Eukaryota; kingdom Metazoa; phylum Chordata; class Mammalia; order Primates; family Hominidae; genus Homo; species Homo sapiens. Next base: position 6,914,180 of record NC_000011.10, read on the forward strand.
TGGTGTCCTTAGAAGGTCCTTTCTCACTCAAAGATTACAGCAAATATTCACCTATTATTTCTCCTAGCAATATTAGGGGGTGTTTTTATTTTTTTTGTTTTATATTGAGATATTTAATCCATCTAGATTTTGGAGAAGAACTGATGTGAAAATACTTTCTTTCTCAACAAATAATCAGATATTCTAACACCATTTTAAATAATACACCCTTCTATCAATTTAGATGACATCTTTATCATTTGTTCCTCTATATACTTGAGTTTGAGTCATTTCTCTATTTTAATCCATTGAGGCATTGATATCTGCACTAGTACAATGCATATAAATTATCCTAATAGTAAATCATAAGGTTGGATAGGTTAAATCTCCCCACCCTCCCCATAACCACAATTCTTTTTCATATTTTTCAGATTTTTTTCTCTGAATATTTTTACATGTATTCATCTGGGTAAACTTTAAAATTATTTTGTTAAGTTTCCCATCAGAGATTGTTTATTGGCTTTGATTATAACCGCAGTTATTTTTTAGATAATTACTGGGGAATATTTCTCAAAATATGATTCATGGAATACTCATATCAAAATCACCAAACTGACTTGTTAAAAGGCAAATTTAATTGTTCAACCACAAACCTACTGAGAATCTCTAGAACTCAGGAACTTTTATTTTTAACAACCTCTCACAGAGAGAATTATTAGGGACGTTAATATATGAGAATCAATAATTTGTTAATGATATCTTTACAATATTTAAATCTTACATCTAGAAATTAGGTTTATTTCTCTATTTATGCATGTTGACTTTTCCTGTATTCTTTCTGAACATATTCATGTTAAATTCACACCTACATATTTTGGCAAAATATATATGTCTATATATAGATTTTTTTTGAGACAGAGTCTCACTCTATTGCTCAGGCTGGAGTGCGGTGGTGTGCTCTCAGCTCACTGTAACCTCTCCCTCCTGGGTTCAAGTGATTTTTCTGCCTCAGCCTCCTGAGTAGCTGGGACTACAGGCATGTGCCACCACGTGCGGCTACTTTTTGTAGAGACAGAGTTTCACCATATTGGCTGGGCTGGTCTCGAACTCCTGACCTCGTGATCCACCTGAGTCAGCCTCCCAAAGTGCTGAGATTACAGGCGTGAGCCACTGTGTCCGGCCATTAATTATATATTTTTAAAATTAATTTTATAATTAGTTCTGATTAATATATAAGAAAACCATGCACATAGTTACATATATGTAACTTACCTATTTACAGATTTTTTATTAGAACCAGTTTTCAGATTATATAAAAATTTACAAACAGAAAATCAACCTACAAGTAGTGATAAATTTACCCTCTCCTTTCCAATAATTATACCTGTCATTTCTAGTTTATATTTCTAATTTTTATTTCATTAGCTAACTCTTGGCAAATAAACAGACACCTTTTTTGTAACTCAGAATTTAATGTGAATATTTCTAGTATTTCACCATTAAGCACAATGCTAGCATTTTGTTTCAAATATCTATTATACAAAAGAAGAAATACTCAGATTTCTTCTTTAAAAAGTATACTTAAGTTCCTGTTTGACTCAAACTACTTATCAAGAATGAAATATGAACTTTATCAAGTATCTTTTGAGGCATTTACTAAGATATTTTTTCCCATTCTAATCTATTAATATGAAGAATTGTTTCAATAAATTTACTAATGTTGGCCTAAATAAGCACTTATGGTAAAAGCTCACTTGATCACAATGTTTTATTACAATGGAATACTGCTGTTATCTATACACTTTCATTTTATTTTGACTTTACGTCTATTTTATATGTATTCATTTAATGTCAACTTCATTAAAAAATTGACTTTTCCTTTTTTCTCTACAAATGAAGTAAATGAAATAGTAATCACCATTCCTTAAAAGTTCAAAATAATTCTGAATTTGTTAAAATGCTATTTTTATTATAATGCAGTTTAAAATTTCACTTGATTTCCTCTTTGACTCATGTGTTATTTACAATTGTATTGATTAATTTCCAAATGCTTGGGGATTTTCTAGATTTTGTTATTGGTTTATAATGTAATTCTGTCATGGTCAGGGAAATATGCCTTATGTGATTTCAATCCCGTGTTATTGAGACTTGATTTACTGTCTAGCATATATAGTCTAACTTTGGTGAACATTCCCTTTGCATTTGAAAAGAATACATATGCTGTACTTATTGGGTAGAGTAATCTATAAACGTCCTTTAGGCTAAGTTGGTTGTTCATGTTGTTCAAGTCTTCTGTATCCTCATGGATTTTCTATTTGTTCTGTCAGGAAGACTGTTGAAATCTTCAAATATTTCTCTGTTTTTTTTGCTAATTATCCTTTCAGTTACATCAATTTTTCTTTGTACATTTTGAAGTTTCATTAAGTGCATTCATATTAAGTATGGTTTTGTCTTTGTGGTGAATGACACTTTTATCATTATGAAATGTCCTTCTTTGTTTCTGGTAATACTTCATATTCATATATTCCAGTTTTTCTATGACTAGTGTTTTTGTGGTATATTCTTTTTCATCCTTTTATTTTCACACAACTGTTTTTATGTTTAAAAATGAATCCCTTGTAGACAACACATTACGTCTTTTTTGTCCAATCTGACAATCACTGCCTTTAATTAGAATGTTTAGTCCATTTATTTTTATTTTCTTTTTTTTTTTCTTTTTTTTTTTTTTTTGAGATGGAGTCTCGCTCTGTTACCCAGGTTGGAGTGCAGTGGCGTGCTCTCGGCTCACTGCAAGTTCTGCCTACCGGGTTCATGCCATTCTCCTGCCTCAGCCTCCCCAGTAGCTGGGACTACAGGCGCCCGTCATCACACCCGGCTTTTTGTATTTTTTTTTTTTTTTAGTAGAGATGGGGTTTCACCATGTTAGCCAGGATGATCTAGATCTCCTGACCTCGTGATCCGCCCGCCTTGGCCTCCCAAAGTGCTGAGATTACAGGCGTGAGCCACTGCACCCAGCCGCCCATTTATTTTTCATATAATTATGGATACAATTTAAGTCTACCATCTTACTTGCTTTGTAATATTCCTATCTATTCTTTGTTCTTTTATCCTCCTTTCTTGCTTTCTTCTTGAGTACCTAAAAATTATTCTATTTTTAGTTTTATTTTTAACTATAACTCTTATTTTATATTTTAATGGTTATTCTAGGGGTTACATTATGTATCCTTGACTCATCACGATCCTCTCTTACTGCCTACCCTCTCTGAGGTATCACCTTAGTGCCAGGGGTTTTCAGTGAAGGTTCTTTACTCTGGCAGACTGAAATTCCAAAATCTTGTAGCCTTCCATGAGCCCTCTGGCAGTTGCTGTTTTGGGACTTGGCAGTTCTATCCTGCGTATGTATAGTTTAATATTCAGCCAAGACTCAGAGAGATTCCTGAAGTCCCTATCTGCAGCTTCTTCCATTCTGCTATTCCCTTCCATAATTCAAGCTATCAATTATGGATCTCCGTCTCATCAGTTCAGCAAGGGTCTCATGCTCTCCTTAGGCTCCCGCTCTGTGGACCACAGTCCTGAAAGTGCCTCCAGGCATAAAGCTAGTGTGATCATAGGGCTTACCTTGTTTGTTTCCTTGCTATATGGCATTATTTTCTGAGTTGGCTGTTTGTTGTTCAAGGTCTGAAAATAGCTGTTTCACATATTTTGTTTTATATTTGCTTTCTGCAAGAGGGCTAGTCCTATAACAGTTACTTTATCAAGACTTCTTATCAAGCAGAAGTAAAGAAGTGACTTTAGAGCATCCTCAATTAGGTGCTACTAAATTTTCCCATTTTTATTTTTTTCTTATATTGGTAATGTAGGGCTTTTTAAAGTATCAACACATTAGAAAAGAATAAAAGTAACCTACCCGTAATTCCAGTACCCAGGGTCAACCACTCTCAACATTTTGGAAATTTTTTTCTTCTAGTCTTTTCTGTGCATTTTGAAAACATATATTAGCATTGGTCTCTAAGACAATAGCAAAACCACTTTTGGTAAGTACCAATGGGAGGTGATTCTCATTATTATTGATAATGATATTAATAATCATTATCTGTAGGATCCAAAGGAAATAGTAGTGATCATATAGACCTAGACCACCAGAGAAGGGGAAAAAGAAAATGACAGGTCCAACTATTCTGGAGGCTGAGGTAGAAGGTTGACTTGACCCCAGGAGTTTGAGGCTGTTGTGAGCTACAATAGCACTGCTGCACTCCAGCCTGGGTGACAGAGCAAGACCCTGCCTCTAAAAAAAAAAAAAAAGAAAATAAAGAAAGAGAAAAAGAAAAGGAAAAAAAGAAATGACAGACATTACTTTGGGGCTAACAGTGATATGTTCCTAAGAACATATAAGTTATTCTCTGTGGAATTTCAGAAATAATTGCAGGAGAAGAAGTGGTTCTTTGAATAGGCTGTTTCACTAATTTTGATAACTCCAATTATAGCTAAATAAATAGATACTGTGCCCTTATATTGTTGATATTTTGCCCATATTGTGCCCCCTTTCACTGTTGCAGCTACATATATTTGAAAACATGCTATAAGTAAATTTTTGAGACTAAATTTTGAGTATGGGGCAAATTTTTCCCTGCCACATTCTATTCAGAACTGGGTCAAAACACATGAATATTTAAGACTTTTACTGTAATTGGCAAAATTACTTTCCAGAAAGAGTAATACAAATTTTCCTAACCACTTGCTTTTGCAAATGTGTCCTGTTTTTGTACCTTCATTATACAGCTAATTAATTCTATACTTGTTAATTGTATAATTTGGGGACAGTAACTTAACCTTTCTGTGCCTCAGTTTCCTTATCTATAAGACAAAATTAATAGTATTTTAATTTACCTCATAATGTTATTGGGAAGATATAATAATATAAAACCCTAAAATTAATGCTGTTATGGGTTCAATGCTTAATGAATATACTAGTTATTTTTTGTTAAGGTTTTGGTGTTAAAATCTTAGATAATTACGCAAGTGAAAATTTATCTTTCATTGTTTTAATTATTGAGTTATAATAATATTGAATATTTTTCTTATATTTAGTAGCTATTTGTATTTCTTCTTTTAAATAGTCTGTTCATATCTTTGGCCCATTATTTCTTGGACTTCACAATTTTCATATAGCTTTCTACAAACTCTTAATGTAATCAGGTCATTTAATTTGACTTCTTTTCCTATTTGGATGCCTTTCATTTTTTTCTCTTCTAGTACTATATTGAATATGAGTGGTAAGAGTGGGTATCCTTGTCTTGTTCCAGTTCTCAGTCAGAATGGTTCCAGCTTTTGCCCATTCAGTAAGATGTTGGCTGTGGGTCTGTTACTGATATACCATCTTTCACCAATCAGAATGGCTTTCATCAAAAAGTCAAGAAATAACATATGATGGTGAGGCTGCAGAAAAAAGGGAACACTAATACGCTGTTAGTAGAAGGTAAATTAGTGCAGCCACTGTGGAGAGCAGTTTAGGGACTTCTCAAGGAACTAAGAATTAAAGTAATATTTGATCCAACAATCCCACTGCTGTATATACACCCAAAGGAAAATAAATCATTCCACCAAAAAGACACACACAATTATATGTTCATCACAGCACTATTCACAATAAAAAAGACATGGAATCAACCCAGGTGCCCATCAGTGGTGGACTGGATAAAGAAAATGTGGAACATATACACAATGGAATATTATGCAGCCATGAAAAAGAATGAAATCATGTTCTTCACAGCAACATGAATGCAGCTCAAAGCCATTATCCTAAGCGAACTAATGCAGGAACAGGAAACCAAATATCACATGTTCTTACTTGTAAGTGGGAGCTAAACATTGGGTACACATTGACATAAAGATGGGAACGACAGACTCTGGGGATGACTAGAGTGGGGAGAGTAAGGGGGTAAACGGCTGAAAAACTACTTCTTGGGTACTATGCTCACTACTTGGGTGGCAGATTGATTTGTACACCAAACCTTAGCATTTGTACTCCAAACTTTGTAACAAACCTGCATGTGTACCTTAATTCTGAAATAAAAGTTGAAGAAAAATAAAATTATTTAAATTTTTTTTCTGATACCTCTCTCCAATATTTTTCTCAGTTTGTGGCTTATCTTATGATACTATTATCTCACAGAAGTCTTTCCATTTGTGTGGCAAATTCTGCATATATTTTTCTCCATGGTTTCTTAGAAAGTATTTGTGTTTTTCAAGTCTGGTCCTATCCAAGTATCACAACAATTTTAACTTATTTTTTCTTTTTGTATTGCTTTAATTTTAATATCTTATTTCTTAATCCAAATAGTTTGGCCTTTAGTGTAGTATAGCTAAGGCTTTACTTTTAAATCCAGCAAAAGTCTGTTGCTTCTTAATAGGTCAAATTAAGTTTGATTCCTGAAAACTGCTTCACAGTTTTGAAGTATGTGTTATAATTAAATATGTCGTATTTTAAATAGTTAGTGGTAGAGTTTTCTGCATAAGGATAGTCCTAACAGTATATACAGTCATTTCCTAACAGTATATTTATAGCCAGTTAGTAAAATCCACATGAACTCTAACATCCTTACATCAGAACTAGCCAAGAGGGCTTTCACAGTATCATACTTTATCTATTAAAAAGCGGCACTGTGGAGAGAGGACTTGGAAAATAACTAAGTTGGTTTAAATTGCAACCAACTAATAATAATAAATATATATATTTATTGTTAATTAGAACAAGCTAGATAGCAAAGAGCTAGAAATACTCAACTAGGTGTCAGTTTTAACATGACCCTCTTCTACAAGACTTGATGTCACAGACCCAAAAAAATGTGTTCTTTTTTCTTGTGCCAAACAGGTAAACAGGCAAAAATATCAATGGGAGAAGAAAACCAAACCTTTGTGTCCAAGTTTATCTTCCTGGGTCTTTCACAGGACTTGCAGACCCAGATCCTGCTATTTATCCTTTTCCTCATCATTTATCTGCTGACCGTGCTTGGAAACCAGCTCATCATCATTCTCATCTTCCTGGATTCTCGCCTTCACACTCCCATGTATTTTTTTCTTAGAAATCTCTCCTTTGCAGATCTCTGTTTCTCTACTAGCATTGTCCCTCAAGTGTTGGTTCACTTCTTGGTAAAGAGGAAAACCATTTCTTTTTATGGGTGTATGACACAGATAATTGTCTTTCTTCTGGTTGGGTGTACAGAGTGTGCGCTGCTGGCAGTGATGTCCTATGACCGGTATGTGGCTGTCTGCAAGCCCCTGTACTACTCTACCATCATGACACAACGGGTGTGTCTCTGGCTGTCCTTCAGGTCCTGGGCCAGTGGGGCACTAGTGTCTTTAGTAGATACCAGCTTTACTTTCCATCTTCCCTACTGGGGACAGAATATAATCAATCACTACTTTTGTGAACCTCCTGCCCTCCTGAAGCTGGCTTCCATAGACACTTACAGCACAGAAATGGCCATCTTTTCAATGGGCGTGGTAATCCTCCTGGCCCCTGTCTCCCTGATTCTTGGTTCTTATTGGAATATTATCTCCACTGTTATCCAGATGCAGTCTGGGGAAGGGAGACTCAAGGCTTTTTCCACCTGTGGCTCCCATCTTATTGTTGTTGTCCTCTTCTATGGGTCAGGAATATTCACCTACATGCGACCAAACTCCAAGACTACAAAAGAACTGGATAAAATGATATCTGTGTTCTATACAGCGGTGACTCCAATGTTGAACCCCATAATTTATAGCTTGAGGAACAAAGATGTCAAAGGGGCTCTCAGGAAACTAGTTGGGAGAAAGTGCTTCTCTCATAGGCAGTGACCTCTGAGTCTGACTTTTAGAGCTATGGCAACATTCTTTAAAAAGGAGCAAGATTTTAGTAGGCAATTATGAATTAGGTTATTTCAGGAAGAAGTGTGAAAATGAACATGTTCTAAAAACTGTGAATACTACAATCTAAACTAGAACATAGGGAAAAAATAAAAGCATGAAAAGTTAGGTCATTTCTTGATTGTAAAAGGTGTTGGGTGCTACTGTGAGGAGTTTGTAGTTAATTCAGCTGCCATGGCATGTTTTAAGCACAGTCACAATTGAATCTAGGAGGTTTCAACCAGATTATTCTGAAATAACAGCTAATACAAATTGCAAGCATAATTCTAACATCAAAGATATCTCAAGTTTGTATGTCTTCAGCATACAAACCTTAGAATAGGCTCTGATTAAAACAATTAAAATATCTGTAAGAGTCTTTAATACTGGGTTCATTAGATCCTAGAGCACTTCAGCTTGTGAAAAGGTACCAGAGGAAATAATACTTCCTAGTTCTTCATGATCTCTCCTGAAAACCCCCCAAAATTTTATATAATCACCTCAAATTTCGTGTAAGCATAGACTATCAGAGTAAAAAGGGAATTCAATAGTAAAATAATCCAACCACATATCTGAGGCTTAAATTATTTCATAATATCTCATCAAATAATTGTTCAGCATTTGCCTAACCAGGAATGACACAGCTCCTTACTCGGGCCACTCTCTTTCATATAAAGGTAGTTTTTACTATTATAGAGATCTTCCTCATGATAAGTCAAAATCAGTTTTCCTGTATCTTCAATCTAGTTTCTCTAGTTTTAGTCCTAGAGCAATTGTCATTATTCTTCAATACTAGAACATACTGAGGTCAATTTCTGTATTTGCCCAAATTCAATTGTCTCTGCCAACTGCCCACTAGTTTCTTTACAATTTCTTTATCTAATATGCTTTGGTACCCTGTATTATCTTGGTCATCCTCTTTTGAATGAGCCCAATTTACCTAAAGAGTATTTCTTTAAAAAATAAAAGAGAAATTAGAATTTGGGGTGACCCCTTCATAGGCTTCAATGCCTGCACACCATGTCACACTGTGGCCCAACTTCTCTAAAATAGTCAATTCCAGAGTCTACTTCAGTTCCTCACAAACCCATAATACAAATAAACTGGCTGGTAGCCTCTTCGCTCTTTCACTTAAAACTTCTAACATTCACATGTTTAGAGGAGATTCTAAGTCACATGTTTAGAGGTGGTTTTCCATGGTAACTATTCTACAGCCATCACGCACTTGGGGTCCAGAAACCACAGACCTCAGATTGACTGTGTAGAAGTCCCCTCCAGTGAAGAACTATCCAATAGCTGTACTTATTTCTTTCTTCTTTAATTCATGTATACATGTGTCCATTTTTAAACCAGCTATTGATCTCTTACTTCATTTTATCTTCTCCAACTCTGAGTGTATTTGGTATACTCAGAGTAATGACTGAGACATAACGTATATTAATACACATTTTTTACTATCTTTTTAAAATTTACTGGAACTGTACCACAATAGGCAAACTTTAATCTGGGGTATGATAATCACTAAAAACCTTCATTCAAATGATATGTGTTAGTTGAGGTGATATAGAGAAGGATAAGAAATTTTTAGTTGAATTTGGTAACTTTGGCTGCTGGTTATGATCTAGATGAGATCTATTTCAGTGAATAGAGGAAAAATAAGAAAATGTAAACAGACATTTGGAGATGTTTTACCATGAGGGAGAAGGAGGAAATGAGGTATGGTTAGGAAAGTGGGATTCTGGGGGTTTTATTCATTTTATTTTATTTTAGATGCTTAGGCTACTCCCCCACCCATTCCTTGCAGATTCTAGCCCCTGACTCACTGCCACTCTCCTGAAGATACTGCTCCTGTGTTATAGTTGTTGGTTATTTTAATTTTCCCATAGAATGAAATATTCAAATAGTTTGCATTCTGAGATTCCTTAATCCTCGCTTCTCCAATGATTACAGCTACTCATTCCCATGGTCATATCTTAAATATTGGTGTTAATGATAACTGCCATCCCATCTGACCAAATTTCAAACACACTCCTGAGTAAAACAAAATGATTGCTATTTTAAAGCACTAAAGTTTGAAATGGTCTGTATGCAGCAATGGATTACTGACACACTGAGAATTATGTTCCCACTCATTCCACCAAAATAGATGCCAATGGGGCTTCTTCACAAAGCTGTCTGCATGAAACCACTACATACTAGGGAGGGAAGGGGAAAATAAAGACAAAAAATTCTAATGAAAACATACTTAATACATACACCTAGAAATCATCATAATGATGACGTATCAGTCAGGGCTTTTAGTTTCAAGCAACAGAAACTAAGCATGATTTAAGCTAAACGTAAAAATATTGAAATAGTATTCGAGTCATGTAGCCAGAACCACAGACCAAAATTGTACCACAGAATTGGCTCTATGAGGACAAGACTTCCATTCAGCACTAGAAGCATGATTTACCTGCCAACACCATCAGCACAGGACACTGCTGCCGGAGCTGCTGATTCTGGAAACTGAATATTGCTGCATCCATTGCCACTGTTGGAAAGAAAAAAAATGTCTTCTGACAAACACAACCTGAGTCAGGCGATCAAATTGAACACCAACAATGATAAGTCATGTTGATAGTATGTACCTGTGATATGATATAATAAAAATGGCACTCTATCTCTGTGACCTTCATCTCCAGTCTAATCATAGGAAAAATATCAGAAAACTCCCAATAGAGGGAGATCATACAAAATACTTGACCAGTACTCCTCAACACTGCCAAGGTTAGGAAACACAAGGAAAGTATGAGAAATCGTCACAGTCCAGAAGAGCCTAAAGAGACATGACAACTAAATGTAATGTGATATTCCAGTTGGGATCCTGCATCAGAGGAAAGAAAAAAGATAAAAACAAAACAAATAAACCAGCTAAAGAAGTCTGGTCCTTACCAGCCTGGACAACATGGCAAAAATCCATCTCTACAAAAAATAAATTTAAAAAAAAATTAGCCAGGCATGGTGGCAAGCACCTGTAGTTCCAGCTACTTGGGAGGCTGAGATGGGAGAATCACTTGAGCTCAGGGAGGTCCAGGCTGCAGTGAGCTGTCACACCACTGTACTCCAGCCTGGCAGCCTGGGTGACAGAGTGAGACCCAGTCAAAAAAAGAAGAAAGAAAGAAAAGAAGCAAGCAAGCAAGAGAGAAAAAGAAAGAAAGAAAGAAAGAAAGAAGAAAGAAAGGAAAGAAAGAAAGAGAAAGAAAGAAAAGAAAAGAAAAAAGCAAAGAAAATAAGAAATCTGAATAAAGTATTGTGGACTTAATGTATCAATGTTATTTTATTTTTTATTTTTATATTTTATTTTTATTTTCTTAGTTGTAACAAATATACCATAATAATTTAAGAGGGTAATAACAGGGAAAACTAGTTGTGGAGTAGAAGGTAACTCTGTATATTACCTTCTCAATTTTTCCAAAACTGTAAATCCAAAACTGCTCTAAAAAATAAGGTCTATTTAAAAAGAAATAAAAGAAACTATATGGTGTGTCCTTGTTTTTTTGTGTCACTAGCTGTTCAAAGTTGCCATCTTGTTTTACCTTAGTCCACTCCTGGCCTAGATATAAAGCTCTCTCTGGTTTAAGTTCTTTCACTCTGCTCCTACAGCACTGTCCACATGCCTCTAGGCAAGCACTAATCATATTATCATGTACTTAATGCCACCAAGCATTCTCTCCTTTGTGACACACACATCCCTTCCCTCTGTGTCTCCACACCCACCAGATTTCCTCCTACCTCTCAGGCTGATCCTCCTCTCTCTTTTTTGCAGGTCCGCCTTCCTGACTCAACCAATGGTGTTGGTGTTCCCTGGGCCAATTCCAGCCCATTTCCTTCTATTTTCTCTCTTCCTCTCTGTCCCTTTCTCTGCAGTCCTATTCCAATGGATAGCATCAATCACCATCTACCCAGATTGACCCAAATTTTACAGGTCTAGCCCCAGACATCTCTAAATTCCCAAATGCCTACATCCAAATGCCTAATTGACAATGCTTCTCAGATGCCACAAAGTACCTCAGTCTTAACAAGCCAAAACTGAACAACGAACTGCAAGCCCTCTCACTTCCATACAAAACTGAATGAATGAATCTGTGAACCAATAAACCAATAAAGACCATGTAAGAGACAATGTCTTGTCGAAATTGTCATTGTTTTTTGATTCCAGACAAATGGGGTGTGGGGAACAGAAAGGCGATTTGGACTAGTTTCCCCGGACGGGATGAGGCAGCGCCGGAAGTATGACGCTCATTTCTTTAAGCCACTAGAAGCTCACCGTGAGTCCATTCACAGGGCCAGAGTTCCAAGTGTGCGGCGTGGGCGGGGCCTGCAGAAAGGGACGGGGCCTGCAGAAAGGGACGGGGCTGGCAAAGGCCTGGTCTACCTCACCGATCCGGGTCGCGGGGGCTCCTAGGGGGTTCCTTCCACAGCTGGTGCGCGTGCGCAAGAGTGCGTCGAGGTTGTTCCGCGGCAATTTATGAAACTCGGAGCCGGCAGTGAGTTGAGGGTTCGGCGAGGTCAGGGATTCCTAGTTGCAGCGTGATTACCAACGCCAGCTCCCTTCACTGTCCAAGACAGCGATTCCGCGGCTCCTCTGAGAACTGGCGCTTGTGAGTGACTGAACGGGCCACTGGAGAGGAGCGGTGCTCACGGGTATCGTTCTCGTCAGCGGGCGGTGGGGACGCGGGGTCTTGGAATTGGGAATCACGCTTGAGGGCGTCCATGCGGAACGTGCAGCTTACCTCAGCTTGCTTGCAGTTACCCAGTTTCCACGCTGCCCTCCAAGGTCTGTGCCGGAAAACCTGGAGGAGGGCGCGAGCTGACGGGAGGGATGGAAACGTGGGCTGCGGAAGTAAGACAAGCGTTGAGAGCAGCGACAGAGGGCGAGGGGGTGGGCGGCGGGACGGCTGGGGTCAGGATCCAGCTCCGCTAAAGCAAGGATTTAACCACACTCCTGTCGCCTCTTCCACTCTGCAATAGGGGCAGTCTCCAGACGCGCAGAGTGGTTAGTATGTTATGATCAGCTGGTTTGGGAATGGCTGGTATTGATGCCTCATGGAAAAACCAAGCGTGACTGGATCAATCAACTGGGAAAGACAATGGAGTTTTAATTAATTCATATTGCCTTGTTTTCCCAGTCATTCCTGGCCACCTCCCTAAAAGATTAAAACCTCCAAGTATCGTACTTATTTTAAAATAATTCTTTCTCCATTTAACATAAATGACTTCTATTCAGTCACTTATTTGCAAACTGTTTTCTGTTCCTCTTTATCTAAGCTACTCTCGCCAGGTGGTTCTTACCTCAAGCAGCTGTCCTACCTACAACCTGTTTGATTAGAAATAACCCTCTTCACAGACAGTACCTTTTTTCCATAATTAGCAGCTGTTCGAGTTCCTTGCGGCCATAAAACCGTAGAACTGGTGCCACCTGGTTATATTAGTCTAACCATCCACTACAACTTCAGGTCCCTCCGTCACAGTGGTACTGGCTCCGTGTCTTAATCCTGAATCCCACCTTTATATCAGAGGCATCTATTCAGTACTTTAGAGTTTAACTGTTATATTTCCTGGCTTTGTATATTCCAGTGTTCATCATTTGCCACTTAAGCTACTTGCAGTCACGTCACACCTTGGATCTCTATCATCAAAACTATTCCACCTCGGAAATCTTACCTAAATGCAGCATGCCATCCTGAACGTCTCTCCCTGTCCTAGCTCTGTAACTGTTTACAGTGAGTAATTCATTAATTTGTGTTTTTCACCTACAAACCTCCCAGTATATTTGTTGCTTTTTTTTTATTTCCTGAGTTGGATATTTAATGCATCTCATTCTTGTTTAATTATATGTAAGGCTTTTCCATTGCCTATCAGGAGCTTCAGCTGTGCGCTTTAGATTTTGACGTACAATGTTTTTACTGTTTTTAGATACTTTGCAGTTGTCCTTTTGATTCTCTTTTATCTTTTTTTTTAGAAGCAAACATTTGAATTTTAAAGTAGGTGAAATTGTTTTTTCTATGTGGTGTTAATTTCTGGTTTTGCATTCTAGTAATAAATATGGTTTCCACTACTCTTGTTTACCATTTATCAAGGATTTTCTATTTGGTAGCCTAATAAATTGCTTTTGTAAACATTCCCTTAGGTGCTTGAATAGAAACTACATTTTATCTAGTTTTATTTATCTATTAGGCTAAGCATATTATTTATATCCACTATACTATTACTTTTTTGACTTTATCTGTCAGAGTCTGAGAAAGTTACCTAATATCCCATTTCTATTGTATCACTGTTGACTTCATTTCTTGTTTTCTGAGAATTTTGCCAAAAATGTTTCAAGTATGTTGTACATTTAATGAGTTATATTTCATTATGAGTTATAATCATTTAGTTTCCTCTAATGTATTTGTGCTTTTAATTCATTATAATTTTAATTCACTAAACTCTTGAATATTTTTTGTTTGCCTGGTATTTTTTAAAAATTCTTTTACATTTAGTTTTGGAGTTCTCGTTTCGGATGTCTTTTGAGTTTTATGTAGTTTGAGTTTAAATTTTTACCCGGTACATTTATTGTTGCAATTAACATCTCTGTTATTTTTACTTTTTAGTATAAAGCCTTTTCTGTTTTGTCTTTGACATATGGCCTGTGAGCTTTTATTTTTTCTTTCTCCATTTATGTTACTTTCAAAGTATCTGGGCCCATAGTTCATTTTTTTGTTGGACTAAATTATACTACTTCAGGACTATTCCACCAGTCATATTTAAGAGCTCTCTCTTGGCTGGTGGCTCAAAAGTGGAGCTAATGAGGCCAGATCAGGAGGGTCGTGGATGTCAACAGTTGTGGCGGGTTTTCAGTCTGTTGTATTGACGGTGGGCCTTGGCAGCTGCGAATGAGGAGAAAGATGGTCTTTTGTTATGAGTTTGGGGAGATGTCAAGGAGTACTCCAGAGGGATTCATTACAGGAAGCACTTGTTTCAGGGCAACTGGAAGCAATTTTCTATCCCGCGAGACCCAGGAATAGCCCATGAAAGGCACCATTACCCTTTTCCTCCCCTGGCCATGACAACCTAGATGGGATCTTTCAAGCCAGAAGGCACCTGCCTCTGTGGCTTTCCACTTGCTGTGGGAAATCCTCTGGGGAGCTTGCATTCACAGAGAAAAAAAGTTTCTAAATAAATTGGATAAAGTTACAGGAAAATAGAGAAGACAGTACAACAGAGTGTCCATATACCCCTCCACTAATTTTTCCTATTAGTAACATTTTGTATTAGTATAGAACATTTCTTACAATTAATAATACTACATTAACTAAAGTCCATGCTTTATTCAAGTTTAATTTTTACCTAATGTCTTTTTTACTGATGTAGAATCCATCCAGTATACCACATTACATTCTGTTGTCATGCCCCCTTAGGCTTCTCTTGGCTGTGACAGTTTCTCAGACATTCCTTGTTTCTGATCATGCTACAATTATGAGGAGGTATTGGTTAAGTATGGAGAACCATCTGTTGGAATTTGATGTTTTTCTCATTATTAGACTGGGGTTATGGGTTTAGAGCAGGAAGATCACAGAGGCAAAATGCCATTTTATCACATTGTCTCGAGGCTACATACTGCCAACATGACTTATCGCTATTAATGTTAATCTTGATCACCTGGCTGAGATGGTATTTGTCAGGTTTTTCCACTGTAAATTTACCTTCCCCCTCCCCCCACCCCACAGCATTTCCTCTTTGGCAGGAAATTCCTATGCAGAGCCCATACTCAAGGGGTGGGGAGTTATGCTGTACCTCGTGAATGGCTGAGAATTTGCATAAATTATTTGGAATTTTTCTGCATAGGAGATTTGTTTACTCTCCCCCATGTATTAATAAGTTGCCATTTATATCACTGCCTTATGAGTATTAATTTAATTGTTTGAATTATCTAATATTCTGTTGCTTATATTGTTCCAGATTTGGCCATAAGGAGCTCTTTCATTTGGCTCCTGTGTACCTTTGATGTGCCCCAATAAATGTTTCAGTTTCTTTTTTTTTTTTTTAATTTTTTGAGCATTTCTTTACTTTCTGGCAGTACAAGATGCCCCATGCTTATGTTGCATGAGCCTCAGTCCTAGAATCAACCATTTCTCCAAGAAATCCTGGTTCCTATTGGAGAATGGTATTAGAAACCAAGATCTGGGAGCTAATTATTCTTTTGCTGCTGGGCTGTTCTTGCTTCTAGACCTACTTAGCCAACACAGCAAGGAAATGTGTGTTTATACTAATTTATGTATATATACATATCTGTAAATATTTATGTAACCATCTTCATCTAATTCAGCCAAATACAAGTTCACACTTAGGTCTCCAACTCTAATCCATTATCACATGGATCATTCTAGTCTCCTTCCCTTGGTTTTCTGTAAATTTCTAGTCAAACATTGAGAAACCTGGCTCTTACCACTCATCTGCCATTAAACTGTCTTTTCATAGTTCTGTGTATCCTTCCCCTACTCTGTGCGCTGATACTTATTTGAATGTTGAATGATCTGTGCAGGCAGGCATTGCCATGGACAAGGTCACACAAACTTTTGGCCAATATGTAAGATCTAACATTGTAACATACATGTGTGCATATGATCTACTGAGAGCTTACTGTGTGTCAAGAAATGAGATGATAGCTCTTTTAATCCCTATAATTTGATCAGATATTTTTATATCCATTTTACAGTTGAGAATGCAAACTTGGGTTAATATAATTTGCTCAGCTTTATACATATAGTAACTAGTACATCTGGGATAGAAACTCATGTATCTATGACTCCAAAGTATGTAGTCTCATTTATATATTGCCTATAGCAGAGTTTTTAAACCTTGGAATTATTGACGATTTGGACTGGGTAATTCTTTGCTATAGGGGACTATCCTGTGTAGGATATTTAACAACATCCCTGGCTTTGACTTCCTAGAGGCCAGGTACAATCTCTAGCTGTAACAGTCAAAACTGTTTCTAAACATTGCCAGATTTCCCCTGTTGGTAAAATATCCTGACTGAGAACCACTGACCTTAGATAATCATAATAAAAGTGACACCTGAATAGTAAATTGCATCTGGACTTGGAGAACTGTAAATCAAATAGAAAGTTGTATCTGGACATCCCTGAATGTAGTGACTCCTATAATTTGGCAGGCTCTTTGAGACAACCCATAAAGTTGTGCTCAGTTGTTATGAGAGATACTGGCTCCTGGGGGAATTCTTTTGAGTCAGAGTGTTTCCTACACCACGTTTATGGGTCTCATCTCCCTGTACTTGAGCTAAATTCTGCAAAGACTCACACTGAAGAAAAGTGCATATTATTCTTCTGCTAGCAAGTTGTTTTTTGCCTTCTGAGTAAATTGGTGCCAAATATGACCTATGGTAGTCTTGCAAGTCTAAATGTTCAGTTGCGCCTAAGACATCCCTGGTGGGCATTGCGTAATTCTCCATAGTAACTCCTAACAAATATAAACTTTTCATTGTAGTCTGGGAATCCACTTTTTGATTTATTCCTAATAATAGTTTATGGATATTATTCTAGTATATTTTAAACAATTGTCTCTTACCTTAATTTCTAATGCTATTGTCAGTTTTACTCATAGAATTTTATTGGCATTTTAAAGAGAACTTTGGGTAAGGTTTTTCAGTCATATCTATTCTGAAACCTTAATATCCTACCTGAAGATTTGTGTTGCTTAATTTTAAGGTAAAAATGATTTGCTACCTGATATAGAATAAATCTAATTGTAATTCAATTACGAAGTTTTTTTAAATCAAAGGACTCTTCATCATTTGTTTTGGGATGTCTATTCGTGTGTGTTTCTTTGTCCTTTGGGAAACTGGTTAGGAGAAAGGGAAAGCATATTTTCTAGTTCTAAGAAAGGAAAATAAAAATAGGAGAATCCATAATATGCATTTTTCTTAGGCAATTTTAATAATATTTGTGTTTTAACACTATGCTAATAGATGTTTGTTCCCTGTGGGTTAATTTCTATCTTTTTTCAGTTGCTCAGGTACCTGAATATTGGCTTTGTGTCTAAAGTTTCTGGAACTTTCCTCCTTACCGTGAAATAACTTGGCTTAAATCACACTGCATATAGTACACAGGTGCTTAGCTCAAGCCTGAGAATTACTGCAATCTAGTAAGGCGGATTTGAACTACTGTGGGAGTTCTATTTAGGAAGATGCAGCCTCTGAGCAAGTTGATGGCTATCTCAAAACCTCGAAACCTGTCTCTACGTGAACAAAGAGAGGTTCTGAGAGCAGATATGTCTTGGCAGCAGGAAACCAACCCCGTCGTGGAGACACATGACTCTGAGGCATCTCGTCAAAAGTTCAGACATTTCCAGTATTTGAAAGTGTCTGGGCCCCATGAAGCCCTGAGCCAACTCTGGGAGCTCTGTCTTCAATGGCTGAGACCAGAGATTCATACAAAGAAGCAGATTATAGAACTGTTGGTGCTGGAACAATTCCTGGCAATCCTGCCTGAAGAAGTCAGGACTTGGGTGAATTTACAACATCCAAACAACAGTAAAGATATGGTGACCCTCATAGAAGATGTGATTGAAATGCTTGAAGATGAAGGTAAGAATATAAAGAAATTAGAGGTAAAATACTTGACCTTTCCCATGTAAAGAGAAATTATCTTTTTTTGAGGCCAGAGAGTATCAAGTGCCAGATCTTGAAGGACTTTATATTACTCTATTAGGAAGCCTTGACTTTATTCTGTAGGTAATAGAAATAGAGAATTAGATCTCACAGATTGGGTAGGGGAGTGAGACAGTTTGATTTGCCAGTTAAAAATATTATGTTGACATCAATTTAGAGCAGGAGTTGGCAAAATATGGCACACAGGCCAAATATTTTTTAAAATAAAGTATTATTGGAACATAGCTATGTCCATTTTCATTTTGTCTATGATTGCTTTTGTGCTATGACCAGAGTTGGTACTTGTAGCAGAGACTGTACTGTCTGCAAAGTCTAAAATATTTGTTATCTGCCCCTTTACAGAAAAAGTTTACCGACATCTCCTGTAAAGGAGAGAGATCTGAGGGTTCTGAAAATAGGAAAACCAGTTAGACTATTGTGATAGATTAGGTGTTAGAGAATGAGCTTTGGGAAAGCAGGAGTTTGAACCTAGAGGAATTATAAACGTATAAATAGGATACCTTTTGACATAAATTCACATGTACTGGCCTGCATGAGTGGAATTTGGGAGTGGGGGAGAAGGTGTAATACTTTAATTATGTGGCAAGTTTTATTTGAGGTCCCTGTGGGACTTTCACAATGAATAAACCAATATATAGTTAACAAGCTTCAGTGTTCAGAAAGAGAAGATTTGGAAGCTTATATGTATGAACACAGAAGTAGGAGAAATACAAATCCTTAGGGAGCATCAATATTGAAGAGCTGGTCTAGGCCAGGTGCGGTGGCTCACGCCTGTAATCCCAGCACTTTGGGAGGCCGAGGCGGGCAGATCACGAGGTCAGGAGATCGAGACCATCCTGGCTAACATGGTGAAACCCCGTCTCTACTAAAAATACAAAAAAAAAATTAGCCGGGCATGGTGGTGGGCGGGCACCTGTAGTCCCAGCTACTAGGGAGGCTGAGGCAGGAGAATGGCGTGAACCCAGGAGGCGGAGCTTGCAGTGAGCCGAGATGGCGCCACTGCACTCCAGCCTGGGCCACAGTGCTAGACTCCATCTCAAAAAAAAAAAAAAAAAAAGCTGGTCTAGCTATCAGTTACAGGAAATACAGAGGATAGTGGAACATGTTAAACTATACCGTGATAATACCATGTGTAAAATCCAAACTGGGAAACTATAAGACAGTCCAGTTTTTAAGGGAATAGGGAGGAGTATGGCAAAGTGATATAGAGATTAGTTATACATCTTTTAAGTTTTTAAAATCATGTGAATGTGTGGACCTTATAAGACATGAGGCCATGAACTGGATATCTGATGAGGAATTATCGATTGGGGACAGTGATTATATTGGTATTGTGGTTATATTTAGTCTTCGTCTAAAAATTTTCTTAATGAGCAAAAGAAGAGAAGCTTGATAAGCAGCCTGGAAAGTAATAATGTAGGAAATCAGAGAACCAGAAAAGATTGGTATCTGAGTTAAGAAAGGAGAAATTTTCAAGAAGTTAATGTTCAACAATGGTATAACAAAAAGGTCACATTAAGATGAATTTTAAAAATAATTCATTGAAATTGTTGATTAGGAGGAATTTTGAGGTTTAGTTTGAGCAGTTTTAGCAGATTTGAGGGGTGCTTATTTGTAGTGAGTTATATTAGTTTTCTATTGCTACTATAATAAATTACCACAAACTTGGTGGCTTAAAACAACATGAATATATTATTCTACAAGCCTGTACATCAGAGATCCAACACGGGTCTCCCTCAGCTAAAATCAAGGTAGTGGTGGTACCGTTTTCTTTCTGGGGCTTATGTTCCCCTTCCCCTGTCTTCAAAGCTAGCAACAATGGGCCAAGTCCTTTTCACACTGCCACATCTCTAATACTTTATTCTGTTGTCATAGCTCTTGCTCACTCATGGTGCTTCTCACTGTCTCACCACACTGGAAAAGGTTCCTCACTTTTCAGGATTCATGTAATTAGGTTGTGATCACCTGAATAATTCAGGATGATCTCCCTCATCTTAAGGTCCTTGACTTTAATCACATCTGCAGAGTCTCTCTTGCTATGTATCCAAGGACTAAGACATGGATATCTTTGTGGGCTGATATTCTGCCCATCATGTGGGTTAAAAAAAATAGGTATGAGGTGGGAATGTGATCATTATAGCCTATTCTTGAGAAATCTAGCAGAAAAGGCAAATGAGAGGTTGCAGGGTAATACAGAACTGAAGAAAGGCTTTTGGTTGTTTCTTTGGTTTGTCTGGTGGCTCTCTGAAAAACCTGCTCATAGGGCTTGCCTTTATTTTACCTAGTTCAAAAGTCACTCAGTACTGAGGTGGCTACCTGGGGGTATTTTTCAAAAACATTTCATGGAAAATGTATTAGCTACTGCTGTCTGAGATAATAAATAACAGTTGGGATGCTGGAGAATGATATGCTTTGAGGGAATAAGGGATTTTGAAAGCTCGCATGTATATCTGAAAATCTGGAAGATTGAAGACATGTTCAGAAAGACCTGAGAAAGCCCTAACTCTTATCTCTAGCTGACCTTCAAGTGCTACACAAGAAAGAAGTGAAGAATAACATAGAGTTAAAAGTGTCTGAGTGAGTGTGCCCTAATACACACAATGCATCTGCAGAGACCAGTTGATGGTTTTTGTTTTTGATATTGTTTTTATGTTTCAAGGCATTTAAGGAAATCTCTGTGGTATCACAAGCTGACCAGTAAGCTGAGGGAACAGATTCATGCAGGTAAACATAACATAGCATATAGAGTTTACAAAATTAGTTCAAAAGTTACTAAATGAGCAATAACTACAACAGTTAGAGCCTCAAAATATATGAAGCAAATACAGAAGTGAAAGAGAAATAGATCAAGAATAATAATTGGAGATTTCACTCCACTTTTATTAACAGAAATACTAGAAAAAAAGATTAAAAAGGAAATAGAAGACTTGAGAAACACCATAAACTGACTTGAACTAACAAATATACAGAGCGTTCTACCCAAAAAACAACAGAAGATACATTTTCAAGTATACATGGAATAGTCTCCAGGATAGACCAAATGTTAGACTAAAAAACATGTTTCAGTACATTTAAGTAGATTGACATCTCATGAAGTATCTTTTCCAACTATAGCAGAATTAGAAATCAGTAACAGAAGGAAATCTGGATAATTCACAGATAAGTGGAAATTAACAGTCACATAATCAGTGGGTCAAAAAGGAAAGCACAAAGGAAATGAAAAAATATTTTGAGAAATGGAAACAAAAATACAACATACCAAAACTTATGACATACAGTGAAGGCATGGCTCAAATTGTAGCTATAAATGCCTACATTAAAAAGATCTCAACCCTCCACCTGAAGGAACTAGAAAAAGAAAACCTAAAAGCCAGATGAAGAAAGAAAATAAATATTAGAACAAAGATAAATGATGTGGAGCCCACAAAAATAATAGAACCAACAAAACTGAAAGTTGGTACTTTGAAAAGATCAGCAAAACTGACAAAGGTTTAGCTACACTGATCAAGAAAAAAAGGACTCAAATTACTAACATCAGGAAAAGTGGGGACAATACTACTGACTTTGCATAAAATGAAAGGGCTCATAAGAGAATACTAGGAGCAATTAAATGCCAACAAATTAGATGCACTTAGATGAAATTCACAAATTCCAAAAACACAAATGACCAAAACTGACTGAAGAAGAAATAGAAAATCTGAACTCAACTCAGCAATAACAAAAGACTGGTTTAGTTATTTTTAAACTTTCAACAAAGAAAACTCAAAGATGATATGGCTTCACTGGTAAATTCTACTACACTTTTGAAAAATTAACACCAGTATTCTCAAACTCTTCCAAAAAATAGGAGGAACACTTCTTAAGTTATCCTGTGAGGCAAGTATTAATCTGATGCCAAAGCCAGACAAAGACATCACAACAAAAGAAAAATGGCAAACCAAATCCAATAGCGTTTTAAGAGGACTATACAAAATGACTTAGTGGGATTGATCCCAGAAATGCAAGTATGGTTCAACAAATGAAAATATATCAGTGCTGTACATCATATTAATACAGTGAAAGGGGAAAAATTACACGATTATCTCAATTGATGCAGAAAAAGCATCTGACAAAATCCAATGCCCTTTTATGACCAAAAAAAAAAAAAGGACTAGAAGTGAACTCACTCAGCCTGACAAAGGACATTTATGAAAAACCCACAGTTAACATTGTACTTGATAAACTTGATGAAAAAGTGAAAGCTTTGTTCTTAGAATCAGGAACAAGACAAGAATGTCCACTCTTGCCACTTCTATTCAATGTCATACTAAACGTTCTAGCTAGTGCAATTAGGCAAGAAAAAAAGAAAAGGTATCATGATTGGAAAGGAAGAAGTAAAACTATCTCTACTGGCAGATGTTATACTCTTATATATCCAAAATCCTAAAGAACCCAGTAAAAAACTATTAGACCTAATAAACTCAAAGTTGCAGGATGCAAAGTCAACAAAAATAGGTTATGTGCCTATAGCAATGAACAACCCTTAAAAGAAACCAAGAAAATAATTTCATTTATAATATGTCAAAAATAGAGGTGTAGGACTTGTCTGCTGAAAAGTACAAACCATTGTTGAAATTAAAGACCTAAGTAAATCCTGCGTTCATGTATTGGAAAACTTAATATCATAAAGATAACACTCCCCCAAAGCAATCTACAGATTCAAATGCAATCCCTATCAAAATCTCAGCTGCTTTTTTTTTTTTTTTTTTTTTTTTGTCAGAAATGGACAAGCTGATCCTAAAATTCATAAGGAATTGGAAAGGACCCAAGATAGTCAAACTGCCTTCATAAAGAAGATAGTTTTAGAATGTATACTTCTCAATTTCAAAACTCACTAAAAAGCTGCAATAATCAAAGCTATGTCGTACTGGAATAGAATTAAGAGTCCAGAAATAAACTCATACATCTATGTCCAGTTAATTTTTGACAAGGGTGTCAAGGCATTAAATGAGAAAATAATAGTTTTTCAACAAATATTGCTGGGACCCCTTGATTTCCATATGCAAAAGATTGGAGTAGGGGCCTTACCTCATATCATGTACAAAAATTAACTCAAGATGGGTCAATTGTCTAAATATAAGAGCCAAAATCATAAAATTCTGAGAAGAAAATATAGAAATAACTCTTCATCACCTTAAATTTGGTAATCAATGCTTAGCTATGACACCAAAGATACAAGCAACAAAAGAAAAAATAGATAAATTAGACCATCAAAATTAACACTTTTGTGCATCAAAAGATACCATCAAGGCAGCGAAAAACCTACAGAATGAGAAAAAACATTTTGAAAATCATATATCTGATAAGGGTCCAATATCAGGAAAATATAAAGAACTCTTACAATTCAATAACAAGATAAGGAACAGTTTTTTAAATGGACAAAGGACTTGAATAGATATTTCTCCAAAGAAGATATACAAATGGCCAAAAAGTATAGGAATAAATGTTCAGGATCATTAGTCATTAGAGAATTGCAACTCAAAACCATAACAACACCCACTAGGATGGCTATAATAATTACAAAAGGAAAACGAATAGGGTTAGCTAGGATGTGGAGAAATTGTTTGGAATTGTATATCGTTGTTGGGAATATAAACTGGTTCAGCCACTGTGAAAAACACTTTGGTGGTTCCTCAAAAAATTAAACATAGAATTACCATATACCCCAGAAAATTGAAGACACATATTCACATTAAAAAGTGGAAACAACCCAGATGTCCATCAACTAATGAATGAATAAACTTTGCTATATACATACAGTGGAGTATTATTCTGCCATAAAAAAGAATGAAGTACTGATACATGTTAAAAAAAAAATGGATGGACCTCCAAAACATGCTAAGTGAGAGAAGTCAGACCCAAAAGGTCACATACTATATGATTCAATTTATGTGGAATGTCCAGAATAGGCAAATTCGTAGAGACAGTATAAGGAAAGGGAGTGTGTATGAGAGTGACTCCTAAATTAATATGGGGCTCTTTCTTGGTAATGAAAATGTTCTGGAATTAGATAGTGGTGATCATTGTACAACATTATGAATGTATTAAAAACCACTGGATTGTATTCTTTAAAATAGCTAATATGGTGAATTTTATATTATGTGAATTTTGCCTTTTTTTAAACTTAAATTCTAAGCTTAATAGAGAATGAAGTGACTTCACTAGAGCCACGATAGAATGGGAGAAAATTAAAGAATCAATGTAGTGTAATGGGACTCTGATAAAAGTTGGAGAATATACAAAAAGCAAGGAAGTAAAAATTGAAAGGATAGGAAGATGCATTTAGCTATTGATTTATCCAATTTTATACTCATGGCAGGATAGTTCTAAGTAATAAAGACCAGAGTATGAGCAAGGAAGTAGATTGTTTGCTGATGGTCATTAGAGATAAGAAAGTCAAAGGTCTATCAGTCTGGGTTGCTGGAAGGGGTGTCTGTGTCAGTGTTGAAGCAACCTATTAAAAGACTGTCAGGATTTGGGGTGAAAAGCAACAATGTGAAGCAAGTAACTGAAGTTTTTATTGGCCTAGTACAATTACTTTAGTGTTGGTCATTCACAGTACATTAGGCTCTCTGAGGGCAGGTATTTGTGTATCTCGCACATAGGAGATAGTAAATATGTGTTGAAAAAATGAATGCGCAATAGCTTAATATATTACAGCATCAAGAACAGTATAGCTAAATGGCATAGACTAGTAAGAAATATTTTTGCATGAGAGAAAATACTAGGAAGTGGAAGGGAGGTACAAGTAGATCAGAACAATTTCCAAGATCGTAGTGCTTAGAGGATAGAAAAAGGTGCCTTTGATGATGCCAAGATCCATTTAGCAAGGGAGAAGGAAGAGTCTGTAAAGAACTTGAGAATGTATATAGATTTTTCTTTGAATGGAATGAGGGTTTCAGAAAACATGACGGTAAAACTTCAAGAAGGGGAGGTCAGCAGGGAAGAAGTAAGGGAAGAAAAGGACATTCAGAGAGAGCAATAAATAGGATAGCTGATTGGAGAGATTTGCACCTTTCCAAGATACCTCAGGTATTTCCAAGAATGTCAAGAACAAGGAACAACATTGTATTGATTGTCCTAAAGATTATGGAATTGAGCAGATTGACATTCCACAAAGTGTACAGACCTGAATAAAGTTAACAGATCTCAGGACCAGGCTCACACTTGTAATCCCAACTCTTTGGGAGGCTGAGGCAGGAGGATCACTTGAGGCCAAGAGTTCAACACCAGCCTGGGCAGCATTGAAAGACCCTGTCTCTAAAGAAAAAAAAAGAAAAAAAAAACATTATCCAAGTATGGTGGCACATGCCTGTAGTCCTTGCTATTCAAGAGGCTGAGGCAGGAGGATTGGTTGAGGCCAGGAGTTTGAGATTGTAGTGAGGTGTGACTGTGCCATACTGCACTCCAGCCTGGACTGAGCAAGACCCTCTTTAAAAAAAAAAAAAAAAAAGTTAACAGACCATAATATTTGCAGCATTCACACGGTATGTTGCTGAGAAATTTGGATTTTTGTTTGCTTTTATTCAGACAGGGTCTCATTCTGTCACCAGGGCTGGAGTGTGGTGGTGCGAACACCACTCACTGCAGCCTCTACCTCCTAGGCTCGGGAAATCCTCCTGCGTCAGCCTCCCAAGTAGATGAGACCACAGGCACACACCACCACACCTGGCTAATTTATTATGATTATTATTTGCAGAGAAGGAATCTCCCTATGTTGCTTAGGCTGGTCTTGGATGCTAGGCTCAAGCATTCCTCCCACCATGGCCTCCCAAAGTGTTGGGATTGCAGGTGTGAGCCACCAGGCCTGCCCTGATGTGTTTTAAGAAGTCCCTATGCAGTTGTTTAAATTGTTGAACCCAATTATACATTTATAATAGAGAATTAATGCTGATTATGATGTAACTGCATGGTTTTAAGATTTTTGGGGGGTTTCAAAGCTCATTAAAAGTTTTAAAAATGGGGGTGGAGATGATCCAGATTTGCCAACTCTTTTTAAGTAAAAACATTTTTTAAATCAATAATTAACATATTAGAAGACATTTTAACATCAAAAGAAAGTCCCTTATATTGAATAAATGTAATGTTTTAACAAACTTACTACATTGTTTCTACTCTTTATTTCACCGTGAATCAGTGAAAACTTCACAGACCAGTGTGACACTTGAGGATCACTGATGTAACTCATGAATCTTCCAGAGTGGCCCTTGGATAAATTTCTCACTGAATGGCTGGATAAGAGAATTGGTTGTCCCTCAGAATTTTATGTTTTGAAAGAAGCAATAGTTCAAGGTGGACAGGTTGCTTAGGTCTATGTATAGTAAGCACAGAGCAACTTACAGGAAAACAATCCTTGGATAGAATTCTCTCTGGAGTGTTTGAAGAAGGGATTGGTTGGATAAAATATTATAAGCTCCAAGTAGAATTACAGCCTGTGATGGCTACGCTGTAGTTAGGCTTTAGTTATGACAGAATTAGTTATTTTTTGGAATCTGCTATAAACATAGATGAGGTCTGAAAATATTATTTTGTCCCTCTTTCTGATTCAGTAGATCTCAGCCCATGGTAGCATATCAGAATCACATTTAAAATATTTTAAAAATACAAGATCTAGGCCTGACCTTTGAAGATTGTGATTGCTGGCAGGGCCTGACATTATTTTTTTCAAAGTTCTATGGATAATTCCTGTGAATATCATATTAAAACAACTATAATTATTAGAAGTTGCTCCAGGGCAAAACTTGTCTCCCTAATATTTTCCTTCATCTTCCTCAGATATGCCCTGCAAGGACTCTGCCCTGCAGATGGGGAGCATCAAGGAGAAAATGAAAGCTGGCTCACGAACAGGCAAACCACAGGTGAATTAGGATTCTAGTCTTTACTGAACACATATGCTCATTTTTAGTATTACCTGCTTTCAATTTTTTGATCTTTGAACTTGTGCCAAACATGGTTCCATCCAAGAACATGAGACTTTTATTTTCCCACAGGACACTGGACCTATTTTAGTTGGTGATACACTGTTAGCCATATAGTCTCTGTGTATCTGTTCCGTCAATAATATAGTTTCTATTTTATCTGTAGACACTATAGATGTAGAGCCTACTCAGAAAATGTTGAGAATTAAGCCTCAAGAGTAGAATCCAGAGCAATGTCGCTTACTAGGCAAGAGTAGAAGAAACCTCAAAGCATACTAAAAAGACAGGACCAAAAGATGTAGGGGAAAACCAGGAAAATGATGTCACTGAGACCAAGGGGTAAGAATATTTAAGGGAGAAATGCTTTAAAGGGTCAAAATAATACAGCCCAAGTAGTGTCTGTTCACTTAAGGAGATACTAAAATGCACTGGAATCTAAGCCAGACTGTGGTGTGTTGAGGAAAGAGGAAGTGAGGAAGCAGACAAAATTAATGCAGACAACTTATTCATAAAGACTGGCTTGAAGGAGAGGAAAGGAAGATGTTTATATATTTCAGTGTGATTGAAGGTGCCAATAAAGACAAGGTTGAGGATGCTGGAGAGAGAAGTGGAATAATTGATGGTGTGATACAGGAGGGAATTTATTAGCCAATATTTATGTAGTGCATAATATGCCAGATACTGTTCTGAGGGCTGAAAATATGATTGATAAACGAAATCCCAGCCTTGTGAAGATCACATTCTAGTAGACGTATACAGGCAAATACAAGCAAATAAGGTAATTGTAGATAGTAATAATAATTACACAGAAAATAATGCAGTAGTAACTGATTAGTAGGGAGGCTACTTTGGGCAGTCAGGCAATCTTGCCCATTTGATGAGTGACATTAAACTGTGAGTCCCAAATGATAAGAGTTATCAGGCAGCATTTCTTAATTAAAGAAAATGCCCTACCTCTCCTTCCAGCAGAGCCTACATTTTCATTACAAATCTCTCTTAGAACTACCACAAACTCTTGCTGTTTTGAACTCCTTTTAGGTAAATTATTTGTAAGGCATAGTAATTTTTTGTTCTACAGTTATTCCAGTTGTCTTTTTTCCCCCTCAACCATGTATTGTAAGCTACTTTAGAATAAGGACTGCACTTCACTTTTCTTTTGTATCCCTAACAGAGTATATATAGTACCAATTTGTTTGGCCCTTACTAAAATTTGATTTTCATCACTTAGAACCTCAAACATTGTCCTCAGACATTGTCCTATCAATTTCTGGTGTATTCTGGCTCCTACCCTATTCCTTCAAATCCATTCCTTCTCTGGTAGTGTTTTGGGGAGTGACACCTTTGATTAAAAAGGAACTTAATGTTTTAGGAACCAGTGACATTCAAAGATGTGGTTGTGGAATTCAGCAAGGAAGAGTGGGGGCAACTGGACTCTGCTGTAAAGAACCTGTACAGGAATGTGATGCTGGAAAACTTTAGGAACCTGAATTCATTGCGTAAAGGTGGTTTCTATATGTTTACCTAATCTGTCCATTTAGTAATCTCTTCCTACCGTTAAAAGCTATAGGACTGCTGAAGTGGCTAAGTTCACTTTTGGGTCTGGGTTGAGGTTTGCTAATATCCTTTGGACACAGTAGCAGATTTTCTGACTCATCTGGATGAAAGTCCTTTCTGATATTGAGCCAGAGATACACAAGTCTATGGTGCTCTTCTGGCCTTACCCTTCAGCAGCTTGGATTACTGTGTCGGGATAGAATTATCTTCTCTATAAAAATGTCTGAAGTGTCATATATGTTTGTTGTTGTTGTTCTTTTTATTTTCTCCATGAACAGCACATCTACTTTCCAAACCATTTGAGAGCCTTAAGTTGGAGAGTAAGAAAAAAAGATGGATAATGGAGAAAGAAATACCAAGGAAGACTATTTTTGGTAAGAACCAGGTAGATATGAGGCCATAGTAAGAAGCTTCTGTTTCCTAAACATACAGACAATGTGCAACCCAATCTTTGAATTGTTAGTTGGGAAGGAGATAGCAAAACCTAAACTTTGAGGGGGAAAAGACATTATTCGCTTTTGTTCACAGGTTCTTTTTCTTATGTGGTAAAACAGTCACATAAGGTTAGGGATAGGACCACAGACACTTAAAGCTGTGTGACCTGAGAGAGCCTTTCTGCCAGTTTCCTCATCTGTAACATAGAGTTAATAATAGTATCTACCTCCAGGTTACTGTGAGGACTAAATGAGTTGGTGTGCCTAGTACACTTAGAATAGTGCATGGTATGGCTGGGCGTGGTGGCTCACGCCTGTAATCCCAGCACTTTGGAAGGCGGAGGCGGGCGGATCACAAGGTCAGGAGATCGAGACCATCCTGGCTAACACCGTTAAACCCTGTCTCTACTAAAAAATACAAAAAATTAGCCGGGTGTGGTGGCGGGCGCCTGTAGTCCCAGCTACTAGGGAGGCTGAGGCAGGAGAATGGCGTGAACCCGGGAGGCGGAGCTTGCAGTGAGCCAAGATCGCACCACTGCACTCCAGCCTGGGCAACAGAGAACAGTGCATGGTACATGGTAAGTGCTACATCAATGAAAATTACCCCACCTAACTTTGAATGTTATTCTTTATTTTAAAGAAAAGAAGTCAACTTTATACTAGAGTGATTTCTAGTAATCTTCCATTTTTCCTTTTTTTTTTTTTTTTTAAACTGTATCACTTATTTTATTTTCTGGGAACGGAGTTCTCACTGTGTTGCCCAGGCTGGCCTCAAACTCCTGAGCTCAAGTGATCCTCCTGCCTCAGCTTCTACCTGGAGAACTTCTTAACTTTTGCCTTAACTCCCTATCTTCTTCATTTTTGTTTATTCCTCATTCTTGTTAATACTTTGTAAGAGAAAATAAAATTGTGATATTAATATAAGTTCTAGTAAGTGTAGAAAAATAAGGAATATAACTTGCTCATTACTTCAGTATCCAGAGCTATGTAGTATTAACATTTTTTAAGCCATTTTCTTTGTTTGTAATGTTTTATCTCTGTGGTTTCTGAATATTTCTTTTCTGAAATTGTGGAACAATTTTCAAAATTTTTCCAGAATTCATCAGGAATACGTCATTTTATATCCTCTTTTCACCTAACATACCATCGTGATTACCTATTTCACTAATTTTGAAAATGTGGTTTCTAATTCCCATAAAATATTCAATTATATCATAATACATTTAACCATTCCCCCTGCCCCTCCACTGTTGGACATTTAGATTGTTGCCAATTTTTCAGGCATGTCTGATAACTTCCATAGGATACCCTATTAGAAGAGGAACTTGACATTAAAGAGTATAAATATTTTTAGTTGTCTTACATTATGCTAAATTGTCTACAGAAAGGTTATACCAATTCATACTCTAATAATAGAGTATTATTATCTCTTTATCATCATCCTAGCAAACACTGGGTATTACTTACCCGAATTCTTTATTAATTTCATAGGCAAATTACTCTTTTCTTCCTTTCTAAGGTAAATACCCTCGGTCCCCGCTCCCATTGTGCTTTGGACCTCATTTGTCCCTACCTTTTCTCACTTGTATTTTCACCATTTCTGTCTCATTTTTCCATCAGCTTTTTAAACTTTTCTGGTCGTTACTGATTTTTAAAAGTTTTCATTCAACCCTACATCCTCCTCTAGCTATTACTCTTTTTCTCACCTCTTCTTTGTAGCCAAACTTCTCAAAGTACTTTATGCTTGTTTTTCTCATTTCCTCACCTCCTATTCCGTACCCTATTTCAATTTAGCTCTTACCCCAGACATTCACCTGAAACAGTTGTTGCTAAAGTTTTTAATGACTTCATGTAGCTAACTCCAATAGATATTTTTGAGACATTCCTTATCTCACTTGAATTCTCAGCAGCAAGTCACACTGTTAACTATGCCTTTTTCTTAAAACATTTTTAGGTTCTCGTAATACTTCTGATTTTCCTCTTTGGTTGGCTATTCTATCTCTGTCTTTTGCAGACTTAGCTTTCTCTAGCTATCTGATAAATTTCAGAGTTTGTCAATATTTAATCTTGTTTTGTCTTCTCTTCTTGCTCTTTTCTTCCCTAGTTTATTACATCCACAACTAAAACTTAAATTATTTCACATATATAGGATTTACAGATGTATATCCTTGGATCAGACTTTTTCTCTGGAGATTTATATATGCTATGACATTTCTCTGGGATATCTTAAAGATGCCTTAAATTCCATGAAACTGAAGTCTGATTTTTTTTCCCTTTCTACTCTTCTATTATTCCCTGAGTAAATGACACTGCCCTCTACCTAGTTACACAAGATACAGTTTAACTATTCTTGACACAACTTCTTCTCCTTCACTTCTCTAATATTTGTTCCTATTTTACTTCCCCATTATCTCTTGAATGTCTCCACTTTTGTCCAACTGCAGTGCTGCTTTGCTAGTCTAGGTACCATCATCTCTCACCTGAACCACCACATTGGCATACTTCTCAGCTCTATTATTATTGCCGCAACTCCAATCTTGGAACCATACTGCAACCAAGGAGATCAGATTTTGTGATCTGCATTTTTTAAATACTATATTGATTTCAGTATTGTTTATTTCACAACATTCTATTCTCTGCCTACTTCTCCAATCTCACCTTGCACCACATCCTCCCCTCACTCTTTGTACTCAAGCCACACCTATCTACTTTCAGAAAATCAACATCAAATATATATTAAGCATCTATATACTGTGTCCTAAGCACTCTCACAGGTGTTGGTGTGCAGCAGAGAAAAGATGATTCTAAGGGAACGCATTCTGGTTGTCCCTGGAATGTGGCTTGTGTTCTCCCATCCCAGCTTTTGACATAGGACACTCTTCCCCCCGTTCTTTACCTAATTGACCCTTATTCCTCAGATCTCAAATAAGTGCACATTTCCTTAAGGAAGTCTTTCCTAACTTGGTTTTTTTCAGTTGTACGCTTGTGCAGCACCTTACTCTTCCTTTTAGCAGTTATCACAATTATATTTTACATGTGTCTCTGTGAATATTTGTCTCCCACATTAGGCTGTATGTTCTTTGAGGGTAGGCATAATGTTTCTTTTTACCCTACCTGTACATCTCCAGCCCGTGGTGCATATAGGAATAAGAGAAAAAAAGACGGATGGATAGATATTAGATAAGAAAGGTAAAAATTATTTTTTGGGTTGTCATTTAGTAAAGGGCTGTTTATGTGGTTTATTGATTAAAACTGTAGGGGTTTTTAATGTATTAACATCTTATTTAAATTCTGTGGATCACAGTTGTGGCAAATGGGATATCTCAGAGTTTTGTTTTTTACTTTTATTCATGGTGTCTGCCACACTTTTTTAAAATTTATGTAACTCTGTATTTCCCCATTGTTTTATATCTGTTCATTTTACACATGTTTTTCCATCTTAAAACTAGGAAACATTTTCTGATTATATTCTACTTTCATCTATCTCCTCATCTAAACATAAGAAATTAATCTGGAATTTACTTCAATAAATGTAACTTATTTTCTCAAATAGTTAATGGATTGTGGTGGATTAAAGATGACCACAAAATCTATGTCATAGTCTCCATCATGATGTAGACTTTGCCAAGGCAGGAGGACTTCTTGAAGCCAGGAATTCAAGACCAGACTGGGCACCATGGCAAGACTCCATCTCTACAAAAAAATAAGCTGGGCATGGTGGTGCATACCTGTAATCGTAGCTGCTTGGAGGATTGCTTGAGTTCAGGAGTTGGAGGCCGCAGTGAGCTATGATTGTATCACTGCATCCCATCCTGGGCAACAGCAAGACCCTGTCTCTAAAATAAATAAATAAATAACAAAATAAAAAACAGTGAGGAAGTTATATGAAAAATGAGTTGTACAAACATGAGTAACAAAGATTTAATTAGGGAAATACAATTGGAAATTCTGCTATTACATAAATACTACTAGAACACTGTTTTTGGTTATCTGTTACTTTTAACAGATTACCCAAAACATAGTGACTTAAAAGAGCAATCATTGTATTCTCAAATTTTGTGAGTTGACTGAGGAGTTCTTATGTT
Source organism: Homo sapiens (assembly GCF_000001405.40). Classification (NCBI taxonomy): domain Eukaryota; kingdom Metazoa; phylum Chordata; class Mammalia; order Primates; family Hominidae; genus Homo; species Homo sapiens. Next base: position 6,947,787 of record NC_000011.10, read on the forward strand.
CCATACGATGTTAGCTGGGAATGCAGCATTCCAGGGCTCAAATGGGATGGAATGTCCAAGATGGCACATCACATGGGTGGTAGTTAATGCTGGCTGATTCTCAGAACTTAACTGTTCTTATGGGCCAGAGCACCTGCATGTGGCCTCTCTTTGAGGCTTGGGCTTCTCACAGCAAGGTGGCTGGGTTCTAACAGGCAACATCCTGAGAGAAATCAGAAGATGTCACCTTAAAGACTAGGTCTAGAAGTGGTATAGTGTCACTTCTGCCACATTCTGTTGGCTTAGCAATCATTGGATCTGCCCAGATTCAAGGAGAAGCAGAATAAACTCTACTTCAGGATGGGGAGTGTGGCAAAGGATGTGCAGCCATTTTGATCTACCATAATCTGTCCTCTGGCTACAAAATATTTGTGTTCTTCTCCCTTGCAAAATATATTTACTCTCTCATAATAAGACCCCCAGAGTCTCACCTACTATGGCATCAAGGTTGAAGTCTAGGATCTCATCTAAATTAGGTCCAGGTTTAGAAGACATTTCTCTCTCTGAAGACTTGTGAATTAAAGGAACAAGCTATCTGCCCCCACACACCCAGTGTACACTGGTGAGGCGGAGACAGGAAATTTTATAAAATAATAGAACCAAAGCACAGATTTGATATGGGAGACGAAGGACAATGGTTATTGTTTTTTTATGGACTCCAGTATAAATATTAGAAAAGCAAAGACTCAAAAATGAAGACACTGAAGTTTTTTCAATATGGAAGATGACTTCAGTCTCTCATTTGTTAAGCTAGAGGACTATGATAGTCAAGTGGAGATGTCCTAGAAAGTGATGAAAACAAGGAACAGTAATGTATGTGAGTGCGAAGCTGACATGATTTGGTCACCAATAAATGTTGGAGAATAAAATTATTAGGCATACTTGAAGTTACAAGAAAAAAGTCAGTGAAATTTAATTTTTTTATTTTTATTTTATTATTATTATACTTTAAGTTTTAGGGTACATGTGCACAATGTGCAGGTTACACTTGTATACATGTGCCATGCTGGTGTGCTGCACCCATTAACTCGTCATTTAGCATTGGGTATATCTCCTAATGCTATCCCTCCCCCCTCCCCCCACCCCACAACAGTCCCAGAGTGTGATGTTCCCCTTCCTGTGTCCATGTGTTCTCATTGTTCAATTCCCACCTATGAGTGAGAACATGCAGTGTTTGGTTTTTTGTCCTTGCGATAGTTTACTGAGAATGATGATTTCCAATTTCATCCATGTCCCTACAAAGGACATGAACTCATCATTTTTTATGGCTGCATAGTATTCCATGGTGTATATGTGCCACATTTTCTTAATCCAGTCTATCATTGTTGGACATTTGGGTTGGTTCCAAGTCTTTGCTATTGTGAATAGTGCCTCAATAAACATACGTGTGCATGTGTCTTTATAGCAGCATGATTTATAATCCTTTGGGTATATTCCCAGTAATGGGATGGCTGGGTCAAATGGTATTTCTAGTTCAAGATCCCTGAGGAATCGCCACACTAACTTCCACAATGGTTGAACTAGTTTACAGTCCCACCAACAGTATAAAAGTGTTCCTGTTTCTCCACATCCTCTCCAGCACCTGTTGTTTCCTGACTTTTTAATGATCGCCATTCTAACTGGTGTGAGATGGTATCTCATTGTGGTTTTGAGTTGCATTTCTCTGATGGCCAGTGATGGTGAGCATTTTTTCATGTGTTTTTTGGCTGTATAAATGTCTGTTCATGTCCTTCGCCCACTTGTTGATGGCGTTGTTTGTTTTTTTCTTGTAAATTTATTTGAGTTCATTGTAGATTCTGGATATTAGCCCTTTGTCAGATGAGTAGGTTGCGAAAATTTTCTCCCATTTTGTGGGTTGCCTGTTCACTCTGATGGTAGTTTCTTTTGCTGTGCAGAAGCTCTTTAGTTTAATCAGATCCCATTTGTCAATTTTGGCTTTTGTTTCCATTGCTTTTGGTGTTTTAGACATGAAGTCCTTGCCCACGCCTATGTCCTGAATGGTAATGCCTAGGTTTTCTTCTAGGGTTTTTATGGTTTCAGGTCTAACGTTTAAGTCTTTAATCCATCTTGAATTAATTTTTGTATAAGGTGTAAGGAAGGGATCCAGTTTCAGCTTTCTACATATGGCTAGCCAGATTTCCCAGCACCATTTATTAAATAGGGAATCCTTTCCCCATTGCTTGTTTTTGTCAGGTTTGTCAAAGATCAGATAGTTGTAGATATGCGGCGTTATTTCTGAGGGCTCTGTTCTGTTCCATTGATCTATATCTCTGTTTTGGTACCAGTATCATGCTGTTTTGGTTACTGTAGCCTTGTAGTATAGTTTGAAGTCAGGTAGCGTGATGCCTCCAGCTTTGTTCTTTTGGCTTAGGATTGACTTGGCGATGGGGCTCTTTTTTGGTTCCATATGAACTTTAAAGTAGTTTTTTCCAATTCTGTGAAGAAAGTCATTGGTAGCTTGATGGGGATGGCATTGAATCTATAAATTACCTTGGGCAGTATGGCCATTTTCACGATATTGATTCTTCCTACCCATGAGCATGGAATGTTCTTCCATTTGTTTGTATCCTCTTTAATTTCATTGAGCAGTGGTTTGTAGTTCTCCTTGAAGAGGTCCTTCACGTCCCTTGTAAAGTGGATTCCTAGGTATTTTATTCTCTTTGAAGCAATTGTGAATGGGAGTTCACTCATGATTTGGTTCTCTGTTTGTCTGTTATTGGTGTATAAGAATGCTTGTGATTTTTGTACATTGATTTTGTATCCTGAGACTTTGCTGAAGTTGCTTATCAGCTTAAGGAGATTTTGGGCTGAGACGATGGGGTTTTCTAGATATACAATCATGTCATCTGCAAACAGGGACAATTTGACTTCCTCTTTTCCTAATTGAATACCCTTTATTTCCTTCTCCTGCCTGATTGCCCTGGCCAGAACTTCCAACACTATGTTGAATAGGAGTGGTGAGAGAGGGCATCCCTGTCTTGTGCCAATTTTCAAAGGCAATGCTTCCAGTTTTTGTCCATTCAGTATGATATTGGCTGTGGGTTTGTCATAAATAGCTCTTATTATTTTGAGATACGTCCCATCAATACCTAATTTATTGAGAGTTTTTAGCATGAAGGGTTGTTGAATTTTGTCCAAGGCCTTTTCTGCATCTATTGAGATAATCATGTGGTTTTTGTCTTTGGTTCTGTTTATATGCTGGATTACATTTATTGATTTGCGTATATTGAACCAGCCTTGCATACCAGGGATGAAGCCCACTTGATCATGGTGGATAAGCTTTTTCATGTGCTGCTGGATTTGCTTTGCCAGTATTTTATTGAGGATTTTTGCATCAATGTTCATCAAGGATATTGGTCTAAAATTCTCTTTTTTTGTTGTGTCTCTGCCAGGCTTTGGTATCAGGATGATGCTGGCCTCATAAAATGAGTTAGGGAGGATTCCCTCTTTTTCTATTGATTGGAATAGTTTCAGAAGGAATGGTACCAGTTCCTCCTTGTACCTCTGGTAGAATTCGGCTGTGAATCCATCTGGTCCTGGACTCTTTTTGGTTGGTAAGCTATTGATTGTTGCCATAATTTCAGAGCCTGTTATTGGTCTGTTCAGAGATTCAGCTTCTTCCTTGTTTAGTCTTGGGAGGGTGTATGTGTCGAGGAATTTATCCATTTCTTCTAGATTTTCTAGTTTATTTGCATAGAGGTGTTTGTAGTATTCTCTGATGGTAGTTTGTATTTCTGTGGGATCGGTGGTGATATCTCCTTTATCATTTTTTATTGAGTCTATCAGAGTCTTCTCTGTTTTCTTCTGTATTAGTCTTGCTAGTGATCTATCAATTTTGTTGATCCTTTCAAAAAACCAGCTCCTGGATTCATTAATTTTTTGAAGGGTTTTTTGTGTCTCTATTTCCTTCAGTTCTGCTCTGATTTTAGTTATTTCTTGCCTTCTGCTAGCTTTTGAATGCATTTGCTCTTGCTTTTCTAGTTCTTTTAATTGTGATGTTAGGGTGTCAATTTTGGATCTTTCCTGCTTTCTCTTGTGGGCATTTAGTGCTATAAATTTCCCTCTACACACTGCTTTGAATGTGTCCCAGAGATTCTGGTATGTTGTGTCTTTGTTCTCACTGGTTTCAAAGAACATCTTTATTTCTGCCTTCATTTCGTTATGCACCCAGTAGTCATTCAGGAGCAGGTTGTTTAGTTTCCATGTAGTTGAGTGGTTTTGAGTGAGTTTCTTAACCCTGAGTTCTAGTTTGATTGCACTGTGGTCTGAGGGACAGTTTGTTATAATTTCTATTCTTTTACATTTGCTGAGGAGAGCTTTACTTCCAAGTATGTGGTCAGTTTTGGAATAGGTGTGGTGTGGTGCTGAAAAAAATGTACATTCTGTTGATTTGGGCTGGAGAGTTCTGTAGATGTCTATTAGGTCTGCTTGGTGCAGAGCTGAGTTCAATTCCTGGGTATCCTTGTTAATTTTCTGTCTTGTTGATCTATCTAATGTTGACAGTAGGGTGTTGAAGTCTCCCATTATTATTGTGTGGGAGTCTAAGTCTCTTTGTAGGTCACTCAGGACTTGCTTTATGAATCTGGGTGCTCCTGTATTGGGTGCATATATATTTAGGATAGTTAGCTCTTCTTGTTGAATTGATCCTTTTACCATTATGTAATGGCCTTCTTTGTCTCTTTTGATCTTTGTTGGTTTAAAGTCTGTTTTATCAGAGACTAGGATTGCAACCCCTACCTTTTTTTGTTTTCCATTTGCTCGGTAGATCTTCCTCCATCCTTTTATTTTGAGCCTATGTGTGTCTCTGCACATGAGATGGGTTTCCTGAATACAGCACACTGATGGGTCTTGACTCTTTATCCAATTTGCCAGTCCGTGTCTTTTAATTGGAGCATTTAGTCCATTTACATGTAAAGTTAATATTGTTATGTGTGAGTTTGATCCTATCATTATGATGTTAGCTGGTTATTTTGCTGGTTAGTTGATGCAGTTTCTTCGTAGCCTCGATGGTCTTTACAATTTGGCATGATTTTGCAGTGGCTGGTACCGGTTGTTCCTTTCCATGTTTAGTGCTTCCTTCAGGAGCTCTTTTAGGGCAGGCCTGGTGGTGACAAAATCTCTCAGCATTTGCTTGTCTGTGAAGTATTTTATTTCTCCTTCACGTATGAAGCTTAGTTTGGCTGGATATGAAATTCTGGTTTGAAAATTCTTTTGTTTAAGAATGTTGAATATTGGCCCCCACTCTCTTCTGGCTTGTAGAGTTTCTGCCAAGAGATCCGCTGTTAGTCTGATGGGCTTCCCTTTGTGGGTAACCCGACCTTTCTCTCTGGCTGCCCTTAACATTTTTTCCTTCATTTCAACTTTGGTGAATCTGACAATTGTATGTCTTGGAGTTGCTCTTCTCAAGGAGTATGTTTGTGGCATTCTCTGTATTTCCTGAATCTGAATGTTGGCCTGCCTTGCTAGATTGGGAAAGTTCTCCTGGAAAATGTCTTGCAGAGTGTTTTCTAACTTGGTTCCATTTTCCCCGTCACTTTCAGATACACCAATCAGACGTAGATTTGGTCTCTTCACATAGTCCCATATTTCTTGGAGGCTTTGTTTGTTTCTTTTTATTCTTTTTTCTCTAAACCTCCTTTCTTGCTTCATTTCATTCATTTCATCTTCCATCACTGATACCCTTTCTTCCAGTTGATCGCATCAGCTCCTGAGGCTTCTGCATTCTTCACATAGTTCTCGAGCCTTGGTTTTCAGCTCCATCAGCTACTCTAAGCACTTCTCTGTATTGGTTATTCTAGTTATACATTTGTCTAAAATTTTTTCAAAGTTTTCACCTTCTTTGCCTTTGGTTTGAATTTCCTCCTGTAGCTTGAAGTAGTTTGATCATCTGAAGCCTTCTTCTCTCAACTCGTCAAAGTCATTCTCCGTCCGGCTTTGTTCCGTTGCTTGTGAGGAACTGCGTTCCTTTGGAGGAGGAGAGGCACTCTGCTCTTTAGAGTTTCCAGTTTTTCTGCTCTGTTTTTTCCCCATCTTGGTGGTTTTATCTACTTTTAGTCTTTGATGATGGTGATGTACAGATGGGTTTTTGGTGTGGATGTCCTTTCTGTTTGTTAGTTTTCCTTCTAACAGACAGGACCCTCAGCTGCAGGTCTGTTGGAGTTTGCTAGAGGTCCACTCCAGACCCTGTTTGCCTGGGTACCAGCAATGGTGGCTGCAGAACAGCGGATTTTTGTGAACCAGAATGCTGCTGTCTGATCGTTTCTCTGGAAGTTTTGTCTCAGAGGAATACCCGGCCGTGTGAGATGTCAGTCTGCCCCTACTGGGGAGTGCCTGCCAGTTAGGCTGCTCGGGGGTCAGGGTTCAGGGACCCACTTGAGGAGGCAGTCTGCCCGTTCTCAGATCTCCAGCTGCGTGCTGGGAGAACCACCGCTCTCTTCAAAGCTGTCAGACAGGGACATTTAAGTCTGCAGAGGTTACTGCTGTCTTTTTGTTTGTCTGTGCCCTGCCCCCAGAGGTGGAGCCTACAGAGGCACGAAGGCCTCCTTGAGCTGTGGTGGGCTCCACCCAGTTCAAGCTTCCTGGCTGCTTTGTTCACCTAAGCAAGCCTGGGCAATGGCGGGAGCCCCTCCCCCAGCCTCGCTGCCACCTTGCAGTTTGATGTCAGACTGCTGTGCTAGCAGTCAGGGAGACTCCGTGGGTGTAGGACCCGAGCCAGGTGCAGGATATAATCTCCTGGTGCGCCATTTTTTAAGCCTGTCGGGAAAGCGCAGTATTAGGGTGGGAGTGACCCGATTTTCCAGGTGCCATCTGTCACCCCTTTCTTTGACTAGGAAAGGGAACTCCCTGACCCCTTGCGCTTCCCGAGTGAAGCAATGCCTCGCCCTGCTTCGGCTTGCGCAGGGTGCACTGCACCCACTGTCCTGCGCCCACTGTCTGGCACTCCCTAGTGAGGTGAACCCAGTACCTCAGATGGAAATGCAGAAGTCACCCGTCTTCTGCGTCACTCACGCTGGGAGCTGTAGACCGGAGCTGTTCCTATTCGGCCATCTTGGCTCCATATATGAAATTTAATTTTTAAAAAATTGCTAGAATATAGAGTATACAGAGTATATAGAAGCTAAATGAGAGGAATTTTGAGAAAGGAAGTGGAACATAATTAAATAAAACGGAAATGAGGACAGGTGAAAGGAAGAGACCCAATCTTAATTAGAACGGTAAAGTTTTGAATTCTAGGAAGTACAGTAGAAAAGTACCAAAGCACTAATGTTGGAATTGGGAGTTATTTTGAGCCCAGAAAAAGGACTTCCTGCTATCTTATATTAGAGTTCTTTTTGCCTTTGTTATATGTAGGGAGTAATTGTGGCTGTATGGAAAATGGGGGCACTATGATTGCAAGTTTGCTTTTAGCTGGTTAAGGTATGGTGCCTGGGAATACAGACATGTTCTTAAAATTATTACTGGTGTTTTATAGAAAGGAATATTTATTGGTAAACAGCTTGGGATAAACAAGATGCTAGAAGAAGGAATATTAGGCAGAGACTTCATACACTAGTTACGAACCAGTGATAACTTGAATTATGATATGATATGCCACCCGCATCCTTGTTCATGTAAAGATATTTTACTCGAGCCCTATACCGTTTTTTTAGTATTCCAGAATAGCTCTCCTATTTTATTTACTAACCTCCTTTTAACATTTTTGTACCATTTATTTCTTTTATAAGTATTTTTTTCTAACCTTGCCTCACATTTCCATTCTGTATTTAAGACCCGTGGTATATGCATATACCTTATACAGTTCAGCCTCCATTTCCTATTGAAGCAGTTTCCCTTCTAGTTCATGGCATTTTTTATTTCTCTTTAGACATGAAGAGTATTTCTGGAGAAGAATCATCCCATGGAGTGATTATGACAAGGCTTACCGAAAGTGGACACCCTTCTTCAGATGCCTGGAAAGGTGAGAATTGGTTATATAGGAACCAGAAAAAATGGGACATAAATTTGCCACAAGAGGCTTTCATTCCTGAGACAATTTACACTGAGGAGGAAGATTTTGAATGTAGTGAAAATAAGAAAAGCTTTGATATTAATTCAGTTAGCTCAATTTGTGCTATACAAGTGGGAATTCCTTCAAGAAAGGGGTCTCCAAAATGTGATAAGTTTAAAACTTACTTCAAATTTAATTTAGACTCAGTAGGTAAGCAACATTCAGAATATGAATATGGGAATGACTTGAGTTTGAGTACAGATATTCGACACCAAAAAAGTCATACTACAATGAATTCCTATGAATGTTATCAATGTGGGAAAGCCTTCTGCCGAAGTTCATCCCTTATTCGACATCAGATCATTCACACAGGAGAGAAACCCTATAAATGCAGTGAATGTGGGAGATTCTTCAACCGACGTACAAACCTTACTAAGCATCAAAAACTTCATGCTGAAGCAAAGGCCTGCACAAGCAATAAATGTGGAAAGGCCTTCAGTAAAAGTGAAGACAGTAATAATCCAACACTCCATTTTGGAAACAATTTCTATCAATGTGTTAACTGTGGAAAATCCTTCAACCGGAGCTCCTCTCTTATTCGACACCAAATGATTCACACGGGAGAGAAACCATTCAAATGTAAGGAATGTAGTAAAGCCTTCAACAGGAGTTCAAACCTTGTTAAACATCAAAAACTGCATACTCGAGATAAGTCCTGAAAAAAGAAAAAATGAAAGATTACCTTCAGTCAGAATGCAGAACTCATTTAACATCATGAATTTATGCTGGATAAAATCTCATGAATATAATGTAAGAAAACATTTGTCAGATTTTTCTTTAAATGATATCACAGAATTAATGTTGGATAGAAATATCATTGGATAGAAATCTGTTTGAAGGAATTTTCCTGGTTTTCAGATGAAGCCATAAGGCTTTGGAGTTAAACCACAGTATCACCATACAAGTATTTGTTTATCATTATTTTGATATCCATTACCCTCACCTCTCCCTAGTTCATAAATAGGTCTATAGCATACTAATATCCACCTGATTTATTGACGAAGTAGACATTAGGCAAAGCCAAACAATACTCTTGGAGTTGATATTTAATAAAACTCAGCCCTTTTAAGAAGGTCACAAGAAATCATTAGCTCATGCGAATATAAGAGAATACTTCTAAGGACAGAAATCTCTGAATCAATGGCTAAGACAACAGTAACAGCCATTTACTCCACTCCTGACAATACCCTTTGTTGTCTTGCTGTTGAATGGAGACTAGAGTTGGGAAAGGGTTATCAACTGCAATGGGAGAAGTATGTATTGCTGTTAATCTATATGTATTCTTAAAATCTGCATTTGTTTATAGCAGGTCCTTGAAAAATGTTTTTGTTTTGTTATAATGTTATAATTGTTATGATGTTGATGAGAAAAATATCGATTCCCAGCCAGGGACACTGTGTGGAGTTCGCACACTCTCCCTATGTCTCCGGGTGCTCCAGTTTCAAACCCCAAAGATGTATACATTAGGTTAATTGACATATCTAAATTATCTCAGTCTGAGTTTGTGAGGAAGTGTGCCCTGCAGTGGAATGGCTCCTAATCAGGGTTTGTTCCCACCATTGCCCTGAGCTGCTAGGATGCGCTCTGTCCACCCATGGCCCTGTACTGGAATAACAGGGTAAATAATTATCTTATCTGTTTTTATTAATCCGTCTTAAATGTGTATATAGCTCAGATTTATTTTAATGTCTGATATTGGAAGCGTTTGGGGTCTTTAGAAGTTTGATGATGTTGTGACCAGACATTTGCCTTAGGAACTTAACTCTTGTTTGTATCCATTAGTCTATGGTAAAATTGGTTTTGTTATACATCATTTCACTTAAAGTTGCAGTTCCTAAGAACCTATTGATGATGTTCAGTGCAGACTTACTGTACCTTTGGGAATTTAGGCTGGAGAGACGTCCATAGCCTTAGGTATATCATTTATACCAGACATTATGAAGTTATTAAAGTCTCCTATACTCTGTACACCAGAACTGTGTCTTCTGTAAACTACCTCAGGATCCCATCTGGTTCTTGAGCCAAGAAGTATGACTTAATCTGCCCCAAAAAATTCACACTGGAGACATTCCCAATTAATGATGATGGTAGCTTTTTGTGAAGGTTCATACCTTATTCAAAGGCAGAAAAGGTATACTGGAGTGAACTCCTATGATTAAATAATGTCAAAATCTATGTTTGTTCATCCTTTATATTGCAACACAAGTTTTATTAGGACAAAGCCCTACATAAGTAATTGATATAGAAATTCGTATAAACAAGAGATAACTTGTAGAGAAGCCTAACAAGAGAAAAGCACTCTGAATGTAAAAAATTCTTGAGGTATGTTCATTCATCATAGTACTTACATTAAATACAATGGATTCTGACTTTTTAAATTTAGGTATTCCAAGTCCAATATTTCAATTTTTGAAAATAAGCTGTGATTTTCTTTTGGATGGTTGAAAGATAGAAGTACTATTTTCACTCTTTATCTTTTCTTTGAACAACTAGCTATTTGAGCCTAAGTAAAATACTTATTTTTTTCTCCTAAATCTCCAAGCTTTCTTAAAAAAGTGTTTACTATGTTCACTAAGTTTAACATAACATAGTTTCAAATAATAATTTTTGGAGTGCATTTAAAGCTCTTGCAGAGCATTTATAGCCAATTAACATCTTCTCGCAGCCTTGTTTCACAAGCCTGTTTATTTAGTACATTGTATTAGCGTTCTCTAGAGGGACAGAACCAATAGGATAAATGTATATATAAAGGGGAGTTTATTAAGGAGTATTGATTTACACTGTCACAAAGTGAGGTCCCACAATAGGCTGCCTGCAAGCTGAGGAGCAAGGAAGCCAAGTCCCAATTTTACATAAGAGTCCAAGTCCCAAAACCTCAAAAGTAGGGAAGCTGACAGCGCAGCCTTCAGTCTGTGGTTGAAGGTCCAAGAGTCCCAAAGCTGAACTCGGAGTCTGATGTTCAAGGGTAGGAAGCATCCGGAACTGGACGAAGTAGTAGGCTGGAAGACTAAGCCAGTCTAGTCGTTCCAATTTCTCCTGCCTTTTATTTTGGCCACACTGGCAGCTGATTAGATTGTGTCCACCCAGATTGAGGGTCGGTCTGCCTTTCCCAGTCCACTGACTCAAATGTTAATCTCCTTTGGCAACACCCTCACAGTCACACTCGGGAACAATACTTTGCATCCTTCAATCCAATCAAGTTGGCACTCAATATTAATCATCACATATTTGAGTTTTACTATATACCATCAAAGGTCGATATCTAAGCTGAAACATGAAGAGTGTAGATTAACCAGATTGTGTCTGGCAAGTGTGGAAATGTTAGGAGAGATGATAAAGGCAAAACGAGGGGCACAAAGCTATAAAGGGATGAGGGCATGGCAAGTTCAGGAAACATAAGTTCATCTACTAGAATACAGCATTGGGAAAGAATGGAGCTTTCATTTCATAGAGGTAAAGCTACAGAGAGACTCAAGGGGCACATCATGAGAGGTCTTGTAAGCCACTTTAGAAGTTTGAGCTTCAGCCTAAAGGTAATAGTGAGATAAAATTGTTGTTAATTCCATGTTTAGTACTCTGAAAATGCTAATTGAAGTAACAAGATAAAACTCCAAAGGAGGAGAAAATCATTTGCTGCTGATATGGTTGACTCATGACAACCTAATAAAATTCGTTGAAAAACTGTTAGATTTAATAAATGAATTTAGATAAGGTAAATATAGCAACTTTGCTCAAAAATAATCTTGAATAAGAGGAAAGCTGTGTCTGGAATGAGAAGACTACTATAGAGATTTTGAGTCTCCACACATTAAACTACAAATGAAAAATTCTAATCAGATATTCAATGGGGAGGATTTATTTCACAAAGTGATTATAAAGTTTACTTTGTAGAAGTAAGAAAATAGCTGTGACCATTTTTTTAAAAGCAAGGTAATGAGAACATTACTAGTAACATAGTGTGATACTAGTCTATTCACATGTGTGAGACAATTGTTTATAACTAGACCTAGGTGTTTATAAGAATTTAGCATATCGTAAATTGTCACTTCAAATTAGAGTGGAAACTATTCAATATTTACATATATATCATATACAGATGTATACATATATGAATATATATGATATATGTTGATATATTTTTTGAAAATTTGACCATGCTGTGGAAAACTGGTCTAAAAAGTTAAATGCCAATCTCAACCAATAAACAAGGGAAATGTTCTATTTTCACTAATACTAAAAAACTTAAAGATCACATATTGGGCTGATAGACAACATATAAAAGGAATAATAACACTCAGTTTTAGTGGGACTCTTAAGAAATGTAACTCACATGCCACTATGGGAATGCAAATAATTACTAACTTTCTGGAGGGCCAACTTGACAATATATATTGAGAGCGTTTAAAAAGTCAAGTTACAGGAGGGAACAGCGCAAGTTAGGATTCAAAAAATCACAAGACCATATGAGCTCCAAAGAGTGACAAAGAATGCGCAGTCTGCATAAAGGAAGAGCAATGGGAGTTGAAGAAAAGACCAGCATCCAGCCTACAAAGAGGAAGAAAGGAGCTCCATAACTCAGCCTGAGCAAGCGAAAAACAAGTTTGAGTCAAGAACCACCAGATTCCCACTCAGCAGCATCAACAATCACTGAGAGGTGAGGCCAAAGATGAGGATAATAGGGTAAAGCAAGTGCTTCACCCAGGCTCTCTTCCTTCTACTTAAATATATCATAAGCACCTTACTAGGCTGTCCAGCTATTTCATTTTTAGAGAGTTGTAACCCAGGTGTCATTGCCATAGATTGCCCTGGATCGATACCCTGATTACTTCACTCGTCACTCTGGCACTGTGGAATTAAATGATTAAGAGCAAGAAACCCATTTCCAGGGCAACAGCTTTTACCATCATCTCCAGCCTTCAGAAAATGGACACTACAGAGCTCTTCAGGGTTGCCTTTGCTTCTTTTTCAAAATATCTTTAAATCTTTGGTGAAGAGAGTACTAAACTGATTCCAATATTCTATCACCCTGGACCTTTGGATTCTTCTCTCTATGGTATGTCAGAGAAGTTTTGTTATTAGCTGTAGGTCAAATTTGACTCTAGGCTTTAATTAGCCAACTTACCAGAATAGGTTGCTCTTTCTGGTGTTTCCATTGAATGCCAGAATTAACAGAATAGGTTACTCTTCTGGTGATTTCATTAAATCCCAGGTTTCAGATGTTTGCATCTGAGACAATAAATCCAACCCAAATGTAACTTACATTTGGTCCATCGTAGAATTTGCTCCCACATGTATTCTCCAGGCTTTTTGCTAATAGAATTGCCAAGCCTGTAACTCTTAAAATAACAGGTATTTCCTTCTGTAGGAACAAAGAATGCTTGCATTTTTTTCTGTCAGGGTTATATTCAGATCTAAGTCTCATTATGACCCTGGAGCCAATGACAAGTGGTAGGGGTGGGAGCTGAAGAGAATTGGTATCAGCTTGTAAGGCAAATGTAAGGTGTAGTCAAGAATATGCTTTAATGGAGAGAAGGTCTGATACCTTCAAGTGGATAAGGAGTACCATTTCATTGGCAAGAGAGATTCAAAAGAATGGGGTGCCCAAATTCTCAGCTTCATCAGTGTCTGCCCAAATACCTTATGTAATATTCTCACCAGTTCTCTTACCTTCACTGTCACCAGGATATGCATTTAATTGGTGCGGCAATTCTGCAACACTTTATGTTGAGTAGGGTTTGATTGTCAGCCATATCTACCTTACAGCCGCTGGGTTTCAGACTGCCATCGGGCCTTTTGGTTATCCTCTTTTGATTCTTAATTGTGTATTCACAGCTTTTAGTTGCTCTTCTTCCATATGTTCATTCCCTAGGGTGACAGAATCCAGGTGGCTCCACATATTTAAAAATCATTTTTTTCCACCATAACTAATGCCACAACCACTTGCACTCTCGACACCTTGTCCTTTACCTGCACTTTTATTCTATTCTAACAGTGATAATCTGAGAAATCTTGATGTCCTCAAATGCCAATGTTTCCCCAACAGAAAGGTTATCCCTGTGCTTTTCTGCAGCCTAATGCTGAATCCTGCTTAGAGGATCTATTTTGTAGAGCCGCTTTGGTCCCAATCTTTGTTTTCCTCTGGGTCAGCAGGAAACAGATGTCATTCTCAATTTTAGAATAAGAATAGTTTAATATTACGGGACTATTTTTAAAGGTGTGGGCAAAGCTTAGGGAAACCATAAGAAATAGGAAAATACCCAAAAGCTAGTAATAAGGGTTTTTTTTTGTTTGTTTGCTTTTTAATCCTTAGGCCTGAAAAGGCAAGACAAAGGAGTCATCACCAGAATCTAGGAGTCATGTAAAGAGGGCACTTTGGTAAGAGCTGCAACCTGAGATCTAGGAAAGCAGCAGTCAAAATCAACCCTCTTATCTCCTGCCAGGGACTCCCATTGGCTATAGCCATGGAGTTAAAGAACCCATTGATGTCATCCATTTAGGCCAGGCTCCCAGAGAGGAGAAAAGTGGAGAGTGGATCTAGAAGGGAGAATAGAGGATATCTGGTATGGGATCCAAATTGATCTGATAAGGGACTTAGAGTGAACCCCAGCCCTTTTATATATTATCTATGATTCACATCCTTGGAAGTCCAACTCCTTCTTGGACTGGTTTCTGTACTCTATTATGTTATCTACAGCAAGTGGAAGTGTATTTTTTAAGTTTGACTGTTCATCTCACTTGGTAATGCTTGGTGTCTTCACCTTGTAATATAGTGTCACTGGTTCTTACAGGGTGGTCCCCAGACCAGCAGCATCAACATCTGTTGGGATTTGTTACAAATATCAGTCCTTGGGCCCCAGTGCAGACCTAATCAGGCAGAAATTCTGGAAAATGGACAGTAATTTTTCTTGTAACAAGCCCTCTAATTCTGATGCAAGTTTGCAAACCTCTGATCTAAGCTTGACATCTGGGCCTAATCTTACCAATGACGCTGATTGTAAGTTTCAGTAATGTTTCTAAAATTGGCCTTGCATCAGCTATCACCTATATTTTTCCTGTGTCATGTTGTGTGTCATAAGTCCTTGTTTCTGAAGGGCCCTTGTATTCTAGGTTTCTCTTCAGTATATTCAGTATATTCAGAAACTATCAATTCTCAAGCAAATTAACAGCTCTACCCATTTTCTTAGTGCCCTTTATTTCTAGTCTACTCATCCATCTTTCCTGGGCATGGGCATTTAATTAGTGAATTCAATTGAATTAATCACACAGTCATGTAACTACCACCATAATCCATATATAGGACAGTTCCACCACTACAGAAAATTCTCTCCTATTCTTTTATAGTCAAGCTGTTCCCCCAACCCCAGCCCTCATGACCCCTGATTAGGCCTATCTATATATAATTTTACCTTTTCAGAATGTGATATAGGTGGTTTCATAGAGTATACAGGTTTCTTAGTCTGGCATCTTTCCCTTAGCCTACCTAATTGAGATTCAAACATGTTATTGCATGTTATTTATTGCTGAGTGGCAATAAAATAAAATTGCTATTAAAATATGGTTACATATATTCTACACTATATATGAACCATCTGAGTTCTTCACATATATGTGTTATTCATTTTAAATTTGTTATTCATATATATAGGAATAACTCATTCATTCACCAGTTGAAAGACATTTGGATTGTTGCCAGTTGGAGTTAAATATAAAAAAAGTTACAAATATATATATAACAGTTTGTGTTAAGATATGTTTTCATTTATCTTGGTATATACCTAGGTGTGAGATTGTTGTGTCCTATGGTAGGTGTATGTTTATCTTGATAAGAAACTGTCAAACTATTTTACAAAATGACTGTATCAATTGGCATTCTGACCATAATGGATGAGAGTACCTGATGTTCCACATACTAACATTGGATATTCCCAGTTTTGCTTTGCTTTAGCTATGGTGTACTAGAATAAGCTCACATTGGCTCACAAAAAATAACTGTTAAATTATCACAAATTTTGTGAGCTAAGTGAAATTATGTTATAGCTTGGAATCAACCAAGATTTACACCACAGAAACAAATGCTGTTAATCCGGGTTTTTTAAATGTTTTCTGGAGACCTAGCTAAACATTTACCATACCACTATGTTAGCAATTGTAATAAGTATGTAATAGTACCTCATTATCACTTCAATTTGCATTTTCTGAATGACTATATTTTCATGGGCTTATTTGTCATATATTTTTGATGAAATGCCTTCTTAAATCTTTTGGCTATTTTTAAATCTAGTTGTTAAGTTTTGACAGTTTTTTATATATTCTAGATGGAAGTCATTATTGGATATGTATTTTGTGTAAATATTTTTTGCACAGTCCATGGCTTGTCCTTTCATTTTAAACAGTGTCTTTCAAAAAAGTTTATAGTGTTGATGAAGTTCATTTTATCAATTGTTTCTCTCATTGATTGTGCTTTCACTGTCATACCTAAAATATTTCTCCTGTTTTCTTCTAGAAGTTTTAGAGTTTTAAGTTTTACATTGAGGTTTATGATCTATTCTTAGTTAACATTTGTACATTATGTGAGGTATGGGTCAAGCTTTATTTGCTTATGGATATCCAGCAGTTTCTGTACTATTTGTAGAAGACTGTAGATTGAATTACCTTTGAACATGTGTCAAAAGTCAGAGAACAGTTATGTCAGTCCATTTCTGGAGTCTGTTTTCTTTCACTGATCTTTGTGCCTATCCTTTCAGTAGTACATTAGTCTCTTGATTAATGAATATTTAGCCTTGAAATCAGATCATGTAAGTCTTCTTAGGTCTTTTTTTTTTTTTATTTTTAATGTCTTTGGCTTTCTTGTTCCTTTGCAGTTCCATATAAATTTTTAGACTTAGCTTATTTCTACAGAATAATCAAGATGAGTTTTTATTAGGGTTGCATTAAATCTAAAGATCTTCTTTTGTATATGTGTCTTTTAACACTGTTTTACATAAATTAGTGTGTGTATTCATGCACTGAAATAACATTCTCAAATGAGTGCCCAAGTAACAATCTAAGAAACTCTTTTATACATTTGTATTTAAACAAAGTTTTACATGCATTACATCATAGTGAATACATTCATTTACTGAAATAATACTACCAACAAGCTGTACAAGTAGAACTCCTACATCATCTTTTATACATGGGTCTTTACATGCATCATTTGTGGTGAACTCAGATGTGGCCTCCATATTAATGTGAGTAAACAGTGTTGAAAGACAAAGATGCAGAAGAAATATCTGAGTGAAACTTCCACACCAAATTGAGAACAGTGTTATTTCAGTAAAGGCATATTGAACACGGTAGTACATGTTATACAGAGTTTAAAGTCACACATGTAAAAGTGTTGCTGAGAGTGCCGCTTGTGTACCAGGTTGAAAATGGTGTTATTTCAGTGACTGGAGGTATTCACTAGTATGCAATGATGTAAAACCTGTTTTTAAACACGTGTATAAAAGATGTTTCCAAAGTGCTACATGGACATCAATTTGAGAAACATGTTTTTAGTGTACAAATGTGTTCACTCTATTCAAACAATGTTTAAAGATACCTAAATAAAAGATGTTTCTAGAACTATTTATAGACAAATCTAAAGATCAATTTTGGGAAATTTCACATCTTAAAAATACTGTGTCTTGCAATATGTAAACATGGTGTGTCTTAAGGTTTTTTATTTCTTTTATCAGTCTTCTGTAGGTTTCAGCATACAGATCTTACAAAGATTTTGTTAGATATACTTCCATGTAATTAACATTTTTAGTACATTATAAATAGTACTGTTTTTATAACTTGAATTTCCATTTGTTTATTCCAGTGTATACAATTATTTCATATTGACTTAGCTTCCTATGAGGGTGCTAAATTCATTCTAGTAGTTTTTTGTGATCTCATTGAGATTTTTTTATATAGTCAATCATGTCATCTGTGACTATTTTTTAGTATTTTAGTTCTGTCTTCAGTATACTGGTCTTTTTCTTGTATGCCTTGGTCTAGTTTGGATTAGACTAATGCTGGTATAATTAGGTGAGTTGGAAAGTTGTTCCTTATTTTCTATTTTCTGGAAGAATTTCAGTAAAACTGGTATTATTTCTCCTTAAATATCTGATAGAATTATCCAGTGAAGTCTTTAGGCTTTGAGCTTCCTTTGTTGGAAAGTTTTAAATTATGAAATCTATTTTTTAAGAGGTATAGAGCTATTCAGGTTGTTTCTTCTTGAGTGAGCCTTAGCACTTGGTGTCTTTCAAGAATATACCATTAAATATTACACAGCCATAAAAAAGAATGAAATCATGTCCTTTGCAGCGGCATGGATGGAGCTGGAGGCCATAATCCTAAGCAAATTAATGCAAGAACAGAAAACCAAATACCGCATGAGTACACATGTGCACAAAGTAGAGAACAGTAGACATCGGGCCTAGCTGAGGGTGGAGGGTGGTATGAGGATGAGGATGGAAAAACTACCCATCAGGTACTATGCTTATTATCTGGGTGATGAAATAATTTGTACAGCAAACCCTAGTAACACACAATTTACCCATGTAACAAACCTGTACATATCCCCCCCAAACTAAAATAAAAAATAAAAGTTGGAAAGAAAAAAAAAATGTTTATATCATCTAAGTTGTGGAATCTATAGGCATAATATTCTATGGACAGAATTGTTCACAATATTACCTTGTTTTCCTTTTAATATCTATAGGATCTATAGTCCCTTCTTTCCTGATAGCATAACTTGTATTCTCCATTTATCTCTTAGTCTGGCTACTGGTTTATCATTTTCATTGATTATTTTTCTATTTTTAATTTCATTTTTATTATTTTGTTCCTTCTGCTTGATTTGGGTGTACTTTTTTGTTTCTTAAGGTAGATGCTTATTTTTTTTTAAGTATATGGGAAGTTGACATTTCTTTTATTATTTATTACACTTTAAGTTCTGGGATCCATGTGCAGAACAGGCAGGTTTGTTACATACGTATACACGTGCCATGGTGGTTTGCTGCATCCATCAACTCGTCATCTGCATTAGGTATTTCTGCTAATGCTATCCCTCCCTGATTCCCCTACCCACCGACAGGCCCTGGTGTATGATGTTCCCCTCCCTGTGTCCATGTGTTCTCTTTGTTCACCTCCTACTTATGAGTGAGAACATGCAGTGTTTGATTTTCTGTCCTTGTGTTAGTTTGCTGAGAATGATGGTTTTCAGCTTCATCCATGTCCCTGCAAAGGACATAAACTCATCCTTTTTTATGGCTGCATAGTATTCCATGGTGTATATATGCCACATTTTCTTTATCCAGTCTATCATTGATGGGCATTTGGGTTGGTTCCAAGTCTTTGCTATTGTGAATAGTGCTGCAATAAACATACATGTATGTGTGTATTTATAGTAGAATGATTTATAATCCTTTGGGTACCCAGTAATGGGATTGCTGGTCAAATGGTATTTCTGGTTCTAGATCCTTGAGGAATCTCCACACTGTCTTCCACAATGGTTGAACTAATTTACACTCCCACCAACAGTGCAAAAGCATTCCTATTTCTCCACATCTTCTCCAGCATCTGTTGTTTCCTGACTTTTTAATGATTGCCATTCTAACTGGTGTGAGATGATACCTCATTGTGGTTTTGATTTGCATTTCTCTAATGACCAGTGATGGTGAGCTTTTTTTCATATGCTTTTTAGCCACATAAATGTCGTATTTTGAGAGGCATCTGTTGATACCCTTTTGTTTGTTTTTTTCTTGTGGATTTGTTTAAGTTCTTTGAAGATTCTGGATATTAGCCCTTTTTCAGGTGAATAGATTACAAAAATTTTCTTCCATTCTGTAGGTTGCCTGTTCACTCTGATGATAGTTTCTTTTGCTGTGCAGAAGCTCTTTAGTTTAATTAGATCCCAATTTGTCTATTTTGGCTTTTGTTGCCATTGCTTTTGGTGTTTTAGTCCTGAAGTCTTTGGCCATGCCTATGTCCTGAATGGATTGCCTAGGTTTTCTTGTAGGTTGTGATGGTTTTAGGTCTTACGTTTGTCTTTAATCCATCTTGAGTTAATTTTTGTATAAGGTGTAAGGAAGGGGTCTAGTTTCAGTTTTCTGCATATGTCTAGCCACTTTTCCCAACACCATTTATTAAATAGGGAATCCTTTCCCCATTACTTGTTTTTATCAGGTTTGTCAAAGATCAGATGGTTGTAGATGTGTGGTGATATTTCTGAGGTCTCTGTTCTGTTCCATTGGTCTATATATCTGTTTTGGTAGTAGTACCATGCTGTTTTGATTACTGTAGCCTTGTAGTATAGTTTGAAGTCAGGTAGCCTGATGCCTCCAGCTTTGTTCTTTTTGCTTGGGATTGTCCTGGCTATATGGGCTCTTTTGTGGTTCCATATGAAATTTAAAGTAGTTTTTTCTAATTCTGTGAAGAAAGTCAGTGGTAGCTTCATGGGGATAGCACTGAATATATAAATTACGTTGGGCGGTATGGCCATTTTCACAATATTGGTTCTTCCTATCCATGAACTTGGAATATTTTTCCATTTGTTTGTGTCCTATCTTATTATACATTTCATCTCCTGATTGCTCTGAATTACACTTTAAGCTCTCTGTGTGGCTCACATATATGGAGCCTTTTTTTTTTTTTTGAACAGGCACTCTGGTATGTAACAAGGTTTGAAATCAAATTTAAGCCTGGGCACAGTGGCTCACACCTGTAATCCCAGCACTTTGGGAAGCCAAGGTGGGTGGATCACTTGAGCCCAGGAGTTCAAAACCAGTCTGGGCTAAAGGGCAAAATCACATCTTTACAAAAAACACAAAAGTTAGCCAGGCATGGTGTCACATGCTCATAATCCCAGCTACCAGGGAGGCTGAGGTGGGAGGATCACCTGAGCCCAGGAGGTTGAGGCTGCAGTGAGCCATGAGCATGCCATTGAACTCCAGCCTGGGCAACAGAGCGAGACCCCATCTCAAAAAAAAAAATTTAAATTACTTATAATTCATGTCCCTTTTTCCTGGGTAAATGTTTTAATAAAACAAGGCTTGAATAAAACAAGCTGCTTCTGGTTTTCCAAATGCCTCTCTGATTGTTCATTACATTCTATGATTTCTTTGCATGGGAATTAGTCACTGGCCATATCTTTCCATTATTATGCCATGTGCTGATTCTTCCTAATAAACTGGGTACTTTGGTGTTGAATCACTGGATTTGATTCAGGTTTCCATTTCTAAATGAAATCCAAAATGTGAATTTATTCCATGTCCTTATGCTTTTAAGAAAGAAAGAAAGCCCTCATATTGACAATTAGAATCTCAGTAACAGTGACTTTGCTTCCAAGGATAAACTTGTAAGCTGTGAAAGAACATGTCAAGCATATTGTCACTTTAAGTCCATTGCAATTTCTGTTTACTTTCCTGTATCAAATTTTCTCCAAATATACATTTGAGCTACTCCTTGTGGAATTAAGAAAACTCACATTTTTCCTGATTATCTTAATCTCTGATTACTGAGGTATGATTGCCACCACAGAGAAAAAAGCTCTACTAAAAAAAATACTTTTTTCCAAAAGCAAACAAGAAAATTTTCAACCTATGTGTACAAATAACTTGAATGTACTCCATTTTAAATTTTGACTTTGGAATCATATAAATGTTTAATTAAACATAATTGCATCAGTAAAGTGAAAATAGCTAAAAAAAAAATGTAGTTAAAACAAATGAACCCAACTATATATTGGTAGCAAAAGCACAGAATTATCTCAAGATTTAAAATATAGTATACTTATTAAACATGATGGATTATATCCTAAGAAAAAAAATTGCAAAGAGCTTTAAACTACATACTAAGGCTCTCATCTTTTCATAACTAATATTAGCATTGGTAGTCTGTTATTTTTTATTTTTTGAGACGGATTCTCGCTTTGTTGCCCAGGCTGGAGTTCAGTGGTGCAATCTTGGCTCACTGCAGTCTCCACCTCCTGGGCACAAGCAATTCTCCTGCCTCAGCCTCCTGGGTAGCTGGGATTACAGGCACCCACCACCATGCCTGGCTAATTTTTTGTATTTTTAGTAGAGATGGGGTTTCACCATGTTGGCCAGGCTGTTCTCAAACTCATGACCTTAAGTGACCCGCCTGCCTGGGCCTCCCATAGTGCTCGGATTACAAGCGTGAGCCACTGTGCCTGGCCAGCATTGGTATTTTGAAATATATATCACCCCCTATGACATATTCTTGTTAAAACAATTAAACCTCAATCTATTCAAGCTTCTAGGTCTGCAAGTGCAGAAAAACATGGAAATACGAATAATACAAGATGCTGATAACACTACAAAATGCAATCAGTGAAATAAAAATGTAAAAATTTGTACAGAAAAAAATGATCCAATTTCTTTAACAAAATGCATGAGAACAAGTTATAGATGACAAGCAACTTAAGAGGCATATTAACCAAGTCCAATGTTTTGCCCTTCTTTAGATCCTGATATGAACAAATCTGTGAAAAGACATTCTTGTAACAAGTGGGGAAAATTGAACATGGACTAAGTGTTAGAAAATATTTGGGATTTACTGCTATTAACTTTGTTAGGTGATAAAATGTATTTTGGTTATTTTTTAATCCTTGTGTATTAACAGTACACACTAAAGTGTTTACGGGCGAAGTAATGCCTAGGATTTGCTTGAAAATACAGAGAAAAACAAGGGATAATTTAAACAAGAATGACAAATTATTGACATTATTTGAAGCTTGGTGATGAATAAGTGGGCATTCATTATACTGTTCTCTGTATTTTTGTGTATTTTTGAAATTTTCCATCCTGAAAAGTTTTAAAAATAACTTACCCTCTCTATCTCACCTGTGTCAGTGTGCAGATACCTACTACAACATATGCTCTGCTTCTTACTGAGCACAAAACTAGATATTCCGAGACATCCTTCCTTGCAGGTACATGTATACATGTGATAGTTCTAAACAATGGAATGTGCACCAAACATGATAAATGAAGCTTTCAGATCTGCCCCATACAACCCTGTGGGGGAACTTTATCATGCTCTTCTTCCTTGCAAGTGATTGGTAGAACAATAACCAGAGCAATCTTGAAAGCCAGGTGTTGCAGATGACAGAGTGCAGACATCCAGAGTAACCTAAAGGGTCATGTGGAGGAAATACCCCTTCAGCCAACTTTAAATATTAGCCCTGGACTGTTACATGAAAAAAAAAAAACAAATTTGATTAAGTTTGGATCATTAAATTTGAGTGTATTTCTTAGAGAAGTCTGCCTCCTTAACTAATAAGGATCGTCTCTTATTCTTGCCTGAATCCTCATTGCCTAGCACAGTGTCTGAACATAGCAGATGTTAAAAAATGTGTAAGTATAATCTAAATCCTTTCCATCACATCTGTCAACAGTGAATTAATCATATCTCGTTCTATGAGAGATTATTCTTCCTCCATGGCAGAGTTGTTGCTCCTTTGCATTTACATAGTTCTTTGGGCTAGCTTGTATTACAGTCTTTTTATTGCAGTTTGTTAATGCCTTCTCCTCTATCTCCCTGAAGACAGCAATAAATTTTTCTGTACTATTTTGTATCCCATCACCAATCAGAATGCCAGGAAGATAGTAGATGCTCAATAAATGCTGACTAATAAATGCCTATCATAGAGAAAACACAAAATGGATAGATTAAAACATGAAAATCTTTGAGTTCTTTGAGTACATATCCATAGAAAGGAGTAGAGAAGAAAAGTGAGAATTATTAGATTTTTCTTTAAGAGGAGAAGCCAAGAAATAGGAATTAGAGACATAGAAAATTGTTAGGAAGAAATATATGGAATGATACTATAAGTTCACACATTCTGATTCAGCCTTAGTTAAAATTTATCATCGAAACCATAGACATAAAGTTAAAACAACATTTAGCAAGAACTCAAGCTGGGAAGAGAATATTGATAAAGGTGTTTTTGAGTACATAAAGCAGGGTTAGCCATTGTCTCTTAGGAATAAACTGGAAAATGTTATAGAGTACTTACAGAATAGCTAACAAATTTTAAATTAAAGTCATTTTTAAACTACATATTGGCACTGTAAGGTTGTTTTTGCCAAGTCTATTTACTAAAGGAAATTTTTTTTCCCTGTACTACTCAGAGATGTGTTTTAATAGTTGTCTTCCCAAGACTACTCATCTAGAACCTTGAGACTGCCTACTATTATCTGGGAAACTACATTAAATGTTTGAGTGAGATAATTATATTTGTAAATTTAAAATTAAAGACCAGGCATCAGTAACCTTTTGTTTTCTTTGTGGAGAATGAGATAGTAAATATTTTAGACTTTATAGGTTATATAGTCACTCTTTGTCAAAACTACTCAATTTTTTACAAAAGCAGCCATAAACAATACATAATGAATGGGTATGACTGTTAAAATAAGACTTTATTTACAAAAACAGGTGACAGGCCAAATTTGGCCCACATAATTCATCAGCCCCCGTTAGACTAAGTTTATCCTAGGAGACTTTTTTTTTTTTTTAACCAATATTGTAGCAGTTTACTTCCTATAAATTCACAGATTGTTTTTTATATTTAACTTAATAACTATTGAATAACTACAAATACTGTAAACTCTCCTACTAAATTGGGAATGTATCTTTAAGCTTTTCTCCTTGCAAGAGATTTTTGCAAGTAAAATTCACGAGTGATTTTAATAAATGGATTTTAAATTAGAGTGGAAGATCTTTTACTTTCATAAATACCAAAACTCTTATATAAATCAATGGAAGGTGGAATTTCAAGGAAAGCAGAAATCTTCCCTGGCAAATGCCAAAGAAATTTTGACAGAGATGAAACTGAAATAATTACATTGTATTTTCCTATAAAATGATTATCAAGACAGTATTACAATAGTGTGAACTATAATTGTAGGGCTCAAGAGACTAGAAAGAGCTGATCTGTCGAGAAATTCAGACTGTGCATTTCCAATGTCATAAAATAGCCCTTAGCATTGAAAGGATTTTTTTAATTTTTTTTATTATACTTTAAGTTCTAGGGTACATGTGCAAAACGTGCAGGTTTGTTACATGTGTATACATGTGCCATGTTGGTGTGCTGTACCCATTAACTCGTCATTTACATTAAGTATATCTCATAATGCTTTCCCTCCCACCCCACAACAGGCCCCGGTGTGTGATGTCCCCCTTCCTGTCTCCAAGTGTTCTCATTGCTCAATTCCCACCTATGAGTGAGAACATGCAGTGTTTGGTTTTCTGTCCTTGCAATAGTTTGCTCAGAATGATGGTTTCCAGCTTCATCCATGTCCCTACAAAGGACATGAACTCATCATTTTTTATGGCTGCATAGTATTCCATGGTGTATATGTGCCACATTTTCTTAATCCAGTCTATCATTGATGGGCATTTGGATTGGTTCCAAGTCTTTGCTATTGTGAATAGTGCCACAATAAACATACGTGTGCATGTGTCTTTATAGCAGCATGATTTATAATCCTTTGGGTATATACCCAGTAATGGGATGGCTGGGTCAAATGGTATTTCTAGTTCTAGATCCCTGAGGAATTGCCACACTGTCTTCCACAATGGTTGAACTAGTTTACAGTCCCACCACCAGTGTAAAAGTCTTCCTATTTCTCCACAACCTGTCCAGCACCTGTTGTTTCCTGACTTTTTAATGATCGCCATTCTAACTGGTGTGAGATGGTATCTCATTGTGGTTTTGATTTGCATTTCTCTGATGGCCAGTGATGATGAGCATTTTTTCCTGTGTCTGTTGGCTGCATAAATGTCTTCTTTTGAGAAGTGTCTGTTCATATCCTTCACCCACTTGTTGATGGGGTTGTTTTAACCTTGTAAACTTGTTTGAGTTCTTTGTGGATTCTGGATATTAGCCCTTTGTCAGATGAGTAGATTACAAAAACTTTTTCCCATTCTGTAGGTTGCCTGTTGACTCTGATGGTAGTTTCTTTAGCTGTGCAGAAGCTCTTTAGTTTAAATTAGATCCCATTTGTCAATTTTGGCTTTTGTTGCTATTGCTTTTGGTGTTTTAGACATGAAGTCCTTGCCCATTTCTATGTACTGAATGGTACTGCCTAGGTTTTCTTCTAGGGTTTTTATGGTTTTAGGTCTAATATTTAAGTCTTTAATCTATCTTGAATTAATTTTTGTATAAGGTGTAAGGAAGGGATCCAGTTTCAGCTTTCTACATATGGCTAGCCAGTTTTCCCAGCACCATTTCTTAAATAGGGAATCCTTTCCCCATTTCTTGTTTTTGTCAGGTTTGTCAAAGATCAGATGGTTGTAGATGTGTGGTATTATTTCTGAGGGCTCTGTTCTGTTCCATTGGTCTATATCCCTGTTTTGGTACCAGTACCATGCTGTTTTGGTTACTGTTGCCTTGTAGTATAGTTTGAAGTCAGGTAGCGTGATGCCTCCAGCTTTGTTCTTTTGGCTTAGGATTGACTTGGCCATGTGGGCTCTTTTTTGGTTCCATATGAACTTTAAAGTAGTTTTTTCCAATTCTGGGAAGAAAGTCATTGGTAGCTTGATAGGGATGGCATTGAATCTATAAATTACCTTGGGCAGTATGGCCATTTTCATGATATTGATTCTTCCTATCCATGAGCATGGAATGTTTTTCCATTTGTTTGTATCCTCTTTTATTTCATTGAGCAGTGGTTTGTAGTTCTTGAAGAGGTCCTTCACATCCCTTGTAAGTTGGATTCCTAGGTATTTTATTCTCTTTGAAGCAATTGTGAATGGGAGTTCACTCATGATTTGGCTCTCTGTTTGTCTGTTATTGATGTATAAGAATGCTTGTGATTTTTGCACATTGATTTTGTATCCTGAGACTTTGCTGAAGTTGCTTATCAGCTTAAGGAGATTTTGGGCTGAGACGATGGGGTTTTCTAGATATACAATCATGTCATCTGCAAACAGGGACAATTTGACTTCCTCTTTTCCTAATTGAATGCCCTTTATTTCTTTCTCCTGCCTGATTGCCCTGGCCGGAACTTCCAACACTATGTTGAATAGGAGTGGTGAGAGAGGGCATCCCTGTCTTGTGCCAGTTTTCAAAGGGAATGCTTTAAGTTTTTGTCCATTCAGTATTTTATTGGCTGTGGGTTTGTCATAAATAGCTCTTATTATTTTGAGATACATCCCATCAATACCTAATTTATTGAGAGTTTTTAGCATGAAGCGCTGTT
The DNA here is from genome assembly GCF_000001405.40 of Homo sapiens. Lineage (NCBI taxonomy): Eukaryota > Metazoa > Chordata > Mammalia > Primates > Hominidae > Homo > Homo sapiens. Next base: position 6,975,111 of record NC_000011.10, read on the forward strand.
GAATTTTGTCAAAGGCCTTTTCTGCATCTATTGAGATAATCATGTGGTTTTTTGTCTTTGGTTCTGTTCATATGCTGGATTACGTTTATTGATTTGCATATGTTGAACCAGCCTTGCTTCCCAGGGATGAAGCCCACTTGATAATTTTTGTGGGTACATAGTAGGTGTATATATTTATGGGGTACATGAGATATTTTGATAGAGGCATGCAATGTAAAATCACATCATGGAGAGTAGGGTATCCATCCCCTCAAGCATTTATCCTTTTTGTTATGATCCAGTTACACACTTAGTTATTTTTAAATGTACAATTACTGACTACAGTCCCATTGTGCTATCCAATAGTAGGTCATATTATTCTATTTTTTTTTTGTTCCCATTAACCATCCCCACCAGCCTCCCAGCCCCTAACTACCCTTTCCAGCCTCTGATAACCATTCTTCTATTCTCTACGTCCGTGAGTTCAATTGTTTTAACCTTTAGGTCCCACAAATAAGTGGGAACATGTGATGTTCGTCTTTCTGTCTTAGATCTCCGGTTCTATCCACATTGTTGCAAATGACTGGATCTCATTCTTTTTTATGGCTGAATATTACGCCATTGTATATATGTACCACATTTTCTTTATCCGTTCCTCTGCTGATGGACACTTAGGCTGATTCCAAATCTTAGCTGTTGTGAACAGTGCTGCAACAAGCACGAAAGTGCAGATATTTCTTTGATATACTGATTTCCTTCTTTTGGATACATATCCAACAGTAGGATTGCTGGATCAGATGATAGCTCTATTTTTAGTTTTTTGAGAAACCTCCAAACTGTTCTTCATAGTGGCTGTACTAATTTACATTCCCATCAACAGTATACAAGGGTTCCCTTTTCTCTAAATCCTCACCAAATGCTATGCCTGTCCTTTGGGTATAAGCTGTTTTAACTGGGGTGAAATGATATGTCATTGTAGTTTTGATTTGCATTTCTCTGATCAATGATGTTGAGCACCTTTTCATGTGCCTGTTTGCCATTTGTATGTCATCTTCTGATAAATGTTTATTCAAATCATTTGCCGAGTTTTTGACTGGATTATTAGATTTTTTCCTATAGAGTTGTTTGAGCTCCTTAAAAGGAATTATTTCTTAAAAGGAAAAACAAAACAAATCTCAGTAAAAGTGGCCTGAGTATCATAAAATTGATTTATTTTCCAAAAAGTCCAATTAATGTCTTAAAATATGAAATGTTGACACAGAGACCAAGGATGCTAAAAATAATATCTTATGATGAAAATAAGGGCACAGTAGAGGTTACCTGAGAATAAATCCAGAGAACTGGCAGTGTTTAATTGATGAAGAAGCGCCTACATTGAGTCCAGAAGATCGTATCAGCTAATGAATATATAGAAAATATGTGAAAATGATGTTGCAGTATTGAGGGAACTTAACTGACTTTAGTCTTGTCCTCAGACAAAGGAAACTTGGAGGAGTTTTTGTTGTTGTTTTATTTAATAATTCCATTTAAGAAGAAATTGCTTCCTCTCTGACTAGCAAATGCTTTTTGGTTCTCACCTGGAGAGGTAACTTACAGATTATTTTATTCTCCACTAGTCACCACTCTTCCCCATGCTCTAGCTGAGTGATTACAATTGACTTGAAAAATCAGTATCTTGTTTGTGGAGAGAAATACACATGTATATGTTTTCTGTTTCTTCTATAAGTTTCCTGTGGCTGCTATAGCAAATTACCACAAACTTAATGGCTTAAAACAACTCATCTTTATGTTCTGATATCAGACGTCTGAAATCAGTTTCAATGAGCAAAAAGTCAAGATGTTGGCAGCATCGTGCTGTCTCTAGAAGGTCTGGGGAGAATCTGTTCTTCACCTTCTCTAGCTGGCATTCCTGGGCTTGTGGCTACATCACTTCAATCTCTGTCTTTGTGGTTGTATCGCCTTCTCTTCTGTGTGAAGTTGATAGGGACTGAATTGTGTCCTCCAAAATTCATGTGTTGAAGTCCTAATTCCAAATACCTCAAATGTGACTGCACAGTAGTCCCCCCTTTTCCATGGTTTCACTTTCTGTGTGGCCAACCACAGTCTGAAAATATTAAATGGAAAATTCCAGAAATCATAAGTTTTAAATTGTGAGCCATTCTGAGTAGTGTGATGAAATTTTGCTCTCCTGCTCTGTCCCACCCAGTCCAGCACAGGATGTGAATGATCCCTTTGTCCAGCATATCTGTACTATATACTCTACCTGACTGTTAGTCACTTAGCAGTTACCTTGGTTATTAGATTTTTTAAAATATAGATGTATATAAGGCTCTGTACTATCCGAGGTTTCAGGTATCCACTGGGGGTGTTGGAATGCATCCCCTGTGGATAAGGAGAAACTATTATATTTGGAGATAGGGCCTTTAAAGAGATGATTAAGTTAAAATGAGACTATTAGAGTGGGCCATAATCCAATCTGTCTGGTATCCTTGTAAGAAGAGGAGATTTGGACCCACAGAGAGACCTAGGTATGCATGCAAATACAGAAGGAACATGTGAAGACAGATGGAGGCCTCAGAAGAAAACCAAACCTGCTGACACCTGGATCTTGGAATTTTAGCTTCCACAATTGTGAGGAAATAAATTTCTGTTGTATATGCCATCCAGTCTGTGATATTTTGTGATAATGAATACACTCTTGTGACAACAAACCCACTCCCAAGATAACATTAACTCATTCATGAGGGCAGAGCCCTAATGACCTAATCACTCATAAAATTGAAATATATATACTCAACACTGTTGCACTGAGTTTTAAGTTTCCAAAACATGAACTTTGAGGGACACATCTAAGTCACAGCAAAAGGAAACTATAAAGATCAGAGACTCAAATCCGGGAAAAGGCAATAGCTCACTCTGTTGGTGAATTTCAATCCCATCAGTGTAATGCCTCTTTTTTCTAACTAACATTACTAAGCATTTACTACTCAGAAACTGATTCAAAAGTAATGTTATCTCCCATTGATATGAAATGTCGAATGTAGGTAAAACAGTGTTCAGTTAGTGAACCCAAGTGTTCATCAGTAGGAGAATGGATAAATTTACAATGATATATTCATAAAAATAACACTCAGCAATAAAAAGGAATGTGCCCCTATACATGCAACATGGATGAATAAATGTGAAAAATACACTGATTGAATGAAGCCTTAGAAGAGAAAATAATCTATGGTTTCATTTATATGAAGTTCTTGAACAGGCAAAACTGATCTATGGTGGGAAACATTTAGAACAGAGATTACCTCTGGTGGATGGTGTTGGCGACTGATTAGAAAAGGGCATTTGACAAAGCTCAGTGAATATACATTTAGGAGCCGAGTTGAAAACAAATACTGAACTCTGATTAATATGTGTGCTGCGATATGTAGGAGACAGCATACTGATGTCTCTAGTTTCACTTGAAATGATTGAAAAATATGGATTGATGGATGACAGAAAAGTAGATGGACAGGTATGATATATCCAATATGGTAGAAGGTGAATAGAAGGACAGGTGTAGTGGCTCACAGCTGTTATTCCAGTGCTTTGGGAAGCTGATGCAGGAGGACCACTTGAAGTCAGGAGTTCAAGACTAGCCTGGGCAACATAGCAAGGCTCCATCTCTACCAAAAAAAAAAATGTATTCACTGTAATATTCTTTCAACTTTATGCTTGAAAATGTTCATAATAAAATGTTGGAAATGTGGTTAATATAATCCACCTATATACTTAATTTTAAAACATTAATTGGAATTAGTTGAATTATAAGATGAACAAAAATGAGAAATGTAAACTCATAAAATTGAAGTATGTTTTCCAGCTCTATCACTGCTAAGATAGAGTTGCTGCCTAACAGCAGCACTTCTGCTCACTATTATAATAAAATTACCGTGTCCCCCATTGCCTAAATTTTATGCTGTTTTAAAGCTCTTATCCACCAAAAGGAACAAGCACACCTTGCCATGTAATGGAATACAAATTTTGGATCAGTACAACATAGGGATATATGTGCCAATTACCAATTTATTGTCTCTCACCCCCAGTCCACCTTTCTTTGTCCAACTCTATGATACTGTACTCTGAGTGACATAGTAGCAATACGGTTTCCAAGAATATCAGGGACAATGTTGAAAGGATAAAGGAATAAATCTAGAGGGACTTCTGCTAGCAAATTTTACAATTTGCTTATTGAATAACACAGTAATAATAATAATGATTGTGGTATATTAGAACAAGCTGAGTCTGTGAAAAACCATAGATTTATAATAACTTGATTTTTAAGCATTTAAAAGAAAAGTTTCTCTATATGGACACTGCGTTTTTTCTGTTACTTATATCTGTTTATAAGTACTTGCTCTTTCTGTCTGTGTAAGCAGGAAAGACAAATACTGTGAATAAGCCAAATAGTCCAATTAAAAGGAGGAACTATTTTAGGAACAGTAATGAGTAATCAGTGCTGTGATTTCCACATAACATCCAAGTAGAAGAAGGAGGTTAAGTAGCATGTTTAAATGTCCTAAGGAGGAGAAGTAACTTGGCCGAATTGATTCTTCATCTCCTAACAGGTAGTTCTATTAATTATAATAAAATACTAATAAAAATTTTTGTTGCTTTTAAATGTTATTAACAGACTAAGTCAAAATGACGTAATGACTTATAAAGTATTGACTAAGAAAATAATTTTAAAATATATTGCTGAGAGGACTGGGGATGGGGGCAAGAAAATAAAACCTACGTGACAGCTATAAACGTGATAGACTTACAGATGTAAAATATTTTTTAAAAGCTTATTTATTTTATTTTGTTTTTCAACCAACTTCCTGAAACATAACCTAGAAAATTGTCAATTGTTAACATTAAAAAGCAACAAGTACACATGCACATGCGTGCAACACACAACAAAATTTAAACGCTAAAAATGAGGTTCAGCCCAATGATCGGTGGTTCAGGATCATATTATTTTGGAAGAAGCATTAAGTTCCTTTGTCAACAATCAATCAGTTAACAAATCCCAGAAGCTATGTATGTATGCCTTTTGTGTTTGTTAAAATTACTGCAGTCATTGGAAGAAATCAAAATAATACTAAAACTCCAATAAAAATTAAAAATACAGCTTATTTTGCTACAAAAATTATATAAAAATTAAAATAATAAATGAATTAAACATATGTCATTTTAGAACAGGTTTAGATGTAACTATAGCAATGTTCTGTAATCATAAATATCAGTTTGATATTTAATGGTTTGGAAGTGATTCAAAAGTCTACAATACTAAATTCAGTTGCAATCGTTTAAAATACTTCAAAGTTTTAATAAGTCAGTGCTCTAGAAAAATCCGTTTTCAATGTTTGAATTATTAAACAGTTTAATAAACTAAGTGTACAAATAGTTGCAGTTTTCCTTTTTGTTCTTGAGTATTAAGTAATAAAAATCAGCCAGTCATTTGAAAAATGAAATTAAACTGATCTTAGTTTACTTTTTATTATTATTATTATTATACTTTAAGTTTTAGGGTACATGTGCACATTGTGCAGGTTAGTTACATATGTATACATGTGCCATGCTGGTGTGCTGCACCCATTAACTCGTCATTTAGCATTAGGTATATCTCCTAAAGCTATCCCTCCCCCCTCCCCCCACCCCACAACAGTCCCCAGAGTGTGATGTTCCCCTTCCTGTGTCCATGTGTTCTCATTGTTCATTTCCCACCTATGAGTGAGAATATGCAGTGTTTGGTTTTTTGTTCTTGTGATAGTTTACTGAAAATGATGATTTCCAATTTCATCCATGTCCCTACAAAGGACATGAACTCATCATTTCTTATGGCTGCATAGTATTCCATGGTGTATATGTGCCACATTTTCTTAATCCAGTCTATCATTGTTGGACATTTGGGTTGGTTCCAAGTCTTTGCTGTTGTGAATAGTGCCACAATAAACATACATGTGCATGTGTCTTTATAGCAGCATGATTTATAGTCCTTTGGGTATATACCCAGTAATGGGATGGCTGGGTCAAATGGTATTTCTAGTTCTAGATCCCTGAGGAATCACCACACTGACTTCCACAATGGTTGAACTAGTTTACAGTCCCACCAACAGTGTAAAAGTGTTCCTATTTCTCCACATCCTCTCCAGCACCTGTTGTTTCCTGACTTTTTAATGATTGCCATTCTAACTGGTGTGAGATGGTATCTCATTGTGGTTTTGATTTGCATTTCTCTGATGGCCAGTGATGGTGAGCATTTTTTCATGTGTTTTTTGGCTGCATGAATGTCTTCTTTTGAGAAGTGTCTGTTCATATCCTTCGCCCACTTTTTGATGGGGTTGTTTGTTTCTTCTTGTAAATTTGTTTGAGTTCATTTTAGATTCTGGATATCAGCCTTTTGTCAGATGAGTAGGTTGTGAAAATTTTCTCCCATTTTGTAGGTTGCCTGTTCACTCTGATGGTAGTTTCTTTTGCTGTGCAGAAGCTCTTTAGTTTAATTAGATCCCATTTGTCAACTTTGGCTTTTGTTGCCATTGCTTTTGGTGTTTTAGACATGAAGTCCTTGCCCATGCCTATGTCTTGAATGGTAATGCCTAGGTTTTCTTCAGGGTTTTTATGGTTTTAGGTCTAACGTTTAAGTCTTTAATCCATCTTGAATTAATTTTTGTATAAGGTGTAAGGAAGGGATCCAGTTTCAGCTTTCTACATATGGCTAGCCAGTTTTCCCAGCACCATTTATTAAATGGGGAATCCTTTCCCTATTGCTTGTTTTTCTCAGGTTTGTCAAAGATCAGATAGTTGTAGATATGCGGCATTATTTCTGGGGGCTCTGTTGTGTTCCATTGATCGATATCTCTGGTTTGGTACCAGTACCATGCTGTTTTGGTTATTGTAGCCTTGTAGTATAGTTTGAAGTCAGGTAGCATGATGCCTCCAGCTTTGTTCTTTTGGCTTAGGATTGACTTGGCGATGTGGGCTCTTTTTTGGTTCCATATGAACTTTAAAGTAGTTTTTTCCAATTCTGTGAAGAAAGTCATTGGTAGCTTGATGGGGATGGCATTGAGTCTATAAATTACCCGGGGCAGTATGGCCATTTTCATGATATATGCACCCAATACAGGAGCACCCAGATTCATAAAGCAAGTCCTGAGTGACCTACAAAGAGACTTAGACTCCCACACAATAATAATGGGAGACTTTAACACCCCACTATCAACATTAGACAGATCAACGAGACAGAAAGTTAACAAGGATACCCAGGAATTGAACTCAGCTCTGCACCAAGCAGACCTAATAGACATCTACAGAACTCTCCACCCCAAATCAACAGAATGTACATTTTTTTCAGCACCACACCACACCTATTCCAAAATTGACCACATACTTGGAAGTAAAGCTCTCCTCAGCAAATCTAAAAGATCAGAAATTATAACAAACTGTCTCTCAGACCACAATGCAATCAAACTAGAACTCAGGATTAAGAAACTCACTCAAAACCACTCAACTACATGGAAACTGAACAACTTGCTCCTGAATGACTACTGGGTACATAACGAAATGAAGGCAGAAATAAAGATGTTCTTTGAAACCAACGAGAACAAAGACACAACATACCAGAATCTCTGGGACACATTCAAAGCAGTGTGTAGAGGGAAACTTATAGCACTAAATGCCCACAAGAGAAAGCAGGAAAGATCCAAAATTGACACCCTAACATCACAATTAAAAGAACTAGAAAAGCAAGAACAAACACATTCAAAAGCTAGCAGAAGGCAAGAAATAACTAAAATCAGAGCAGAACTGAAGGAAATAGAGACACAAAAAACCCTTCAAAAAATTAGTGAATCCAGGAGCTGGTTTTTTGAAAGGATCAACAAAATTGATAGACCACTAGCAAGACTAATAAAGAAGAAAAGAGAGAAGAATCAAATAGATGCAATAAAAAATGATAAAGGGGATATCACCACCGATTCCACAGAAATACAAACTACCATCAGAGAATACTACAAACACCTCCACGCAAATAAACTAGAAAATCTAGAAGAAATGGATAAACTCCTCGACACATACACCCTCCCAAGACTAAATCAGGAAGAAGTTGACTCTCTGAATAGACCAATAACAGGCTCTGAAATTGTGGCAATAATCAATAGCTTACCAACCAAAAAGAGTCCAGGACCAGATGGATTCACAGCTGAATTCTACCAGAGGTACAAGGAGGAACTGGTACCATTCCTTCTGAAACTATTCCAATCAACAGAAAAAGAGGGAATCCTCCCTAACTCATTTTATGAGGCCAGCATCATCTTGATACCAAAGCCTGGCAGAGACACAAGCAAAAAAGAGAATTTTGAACCAATATCCTTGATGAACATTGATGCAAAAATCCTCAATAAAATACTGGCAAACCGAATCCAGCAGCACATCAAAAAGTTTACTTTTTATAAGAATATAAATTCCAAATGTATCAAAGTTTTAAATATGAGAACTAAAATAATTTTTAAAAACTAGAACATAGATATATCTTGTTAAAAATATTATGAAGTGGAAATAGCAAACTCAGAGACATTGTTTTAAACTTGTTAAAGTTTGTATATATTAGAAAATACGAATAAAACCAAAAATAAACTGGGAGAAATAGTTTCATTACATATGGCAAAGGAAGTGCTAATATCTCTAACATAAAAAGCTGATAAAAACAAGGAAAAGACAAAGCATCAAGTAGAAATCTGGCAAAGAATATAATCCAAAATTCTACAGGAAAAGTCCAAATGAATGATAAATCCATATAAAGGTGATAGGCTTATCTAATATTTAAAGAATTATAAAGTTTAACACCAATACAGTATTTTTTCTCTTATGAGACTAAACGCCTAAAACATGATAGTACTCAGTATTGGTAAAGGATATAAAAATTAACATACTCTCAAACGCTATCTTTGGGGGTATGAAGTGGTAAAATATTTCAGGAAGATAATTTGACAATGTCCCTTAAATTTTTTTTTTTTTCAGATGGAGTTTCCCTCTTGTTGCCCAGGCTGGAGTATAATGATGCAGTCTCGGCTCACTGCAACCTCCACCTCTGGGTTCAAGTGATTCTCCTGCCTCAGCCTCCTGAGTAGCTGGGATTAGAGGCACCCACCACCATGCCTAGCTAATTTTTTGTGTTTCTAGTAGAAATGGGGTTTCACCATGTTGGCCAGGCTGGTCTTGAACTCCTGACCTCAAGTGATCCGCCCACCTCAGCCTCCTAAAGTGCTGGGATGACAGGCGTGAGCCACCACGCCCAGCTGTCCCTTAACATTTGAAATGTGTATATCACCTCATTTAGCTATTCTGTTTCTAGAAACTTATTTTTACAAAGAAAATTCACAAATGCACACGAAAATGTATGCATGAAGATACTTGTCACAGCGTTGGTTGTAATAATATGGAATTAGGTCAAATATTTATCAGTAAAAGACTAAGTCATATTGTGCATATACTGAAATATGTGATAAACCTAAATTTACTGACAATCTGCCCATGATTTACTTTTATGAGAAAAAAGGGAGGTGAAATTTATTGTATATGGTATGATTCCATAGTTTGAAAACTAAGATATAAATTGGTATGTTGCTACCTGCACAAAGAGGGGAAAATTACATAAACTAACTTTTTAGAAGCCATTTTATCCAGATAGTAAGATTAAATTGGGTTTTCACAATCTTTTACATTTCTCTTATAGAAATAAAAAATAGTTAAAAAGAGAACAGACCAGTAATAGGTTCCAAAATTGAATCAGTAATAAAAACCCTACCAACCAAAAAACTGCACTGGTCACGATGGATTCACAGCCGAATTCCACCAGATATACAAAGAAGACATAGTATCAATCCTACTGAAACCATTCCAAAAAATTGAGGAGGGGGGCTCCTCTATAACTCATTCTCTAAAGGCAGCATCACCCTGAGACCAAAACTGGCAAAGACACAATGAGAAAAGAAAACTTCAGACCAATGTCCCTGATGAACATAGACACACCAATTCTCAACAAAATACTAACAAACCAAATCCAGCAGCACACCAAAAAGATAATTCACGATGATGAAGTAGGCTTTATTCCTGGAATGCAAGATTGATTCAACAAATGCAAGTCAATAAATGTGATTCATCACAAAAACATAATTAAAAGGAAAAAAACTAATCTCAATATTTACATAAAAAGCTTTTGATAACGTCCAATGTCCCTTCATGATAAAAAGCCCCAACACAATAGACACCTAAGGAGCATACCTCAAAATAATTAGAGCCATCTATGACAAACCCACAGCCAACATTGTACTAAACAGGCAAAATCTAGAACCATTCCCCATGAAAACTAGAACAAGACAAAGATGGCCACGCTCACCACTCCTATTCACCTTAGTAGTGGAAGTCCTAGCTGAAACAATCAGGTAAGAGAAAGAAATGCATCCAAATAGGAAAAGAAGTCAAGCTATTTATCTTCACTGATGATATGATTCTATACTTAGAAAACACTAAAGACTCTGCAAAAATGCTCCTAGAGCTTATAAACAATTTCAGGAAAGTTTCAGGATACAAAATCAATGTACAGAAATCAGTAGCATTTCTATATACCAATAACATTTAAGCTGAGAGCCAAATCAAGAATGCAATCCTATTTACAGTAGCCTCAAAAAGAATAAAATACCTAAGAATACAGAGAGCCAAGGAGGTGAAGAATCTCTACAAGGAGAATTACAAAACACTGTTAAATCAAAGATGACACAAAAAGAAAAAAGGTCCCATGCTCATGTATTGGAAGAATCAATATTATTTAAATGGCCATACTGCCCAAAGCAATTCACAATTCAACACTATTCCTATTAAACTATCAACATAATTTTTCACAGAATTAGAAAAAACTATTCTGAAATTAATGGAACCAAAAAAGATCTCGAATATCCAAAGCAATCCTAAGTAAAAAAGAACAAAGCCAGAGGCATCACATTACCCAACTTCAAACTATATACTACAATGCTACAGTAACCAAAATAGCATGATTCTGGTATAAAAACAGACACATAGACCAATACAACAGAATAGAGAATCCAGAAATAAAGCCACATGCCCACAACCATCTTATCTTTGACAAAATCAACAACAATAAGCAATGGTGAAAAAACTCCCTATTCAATAAATGATGCTGGGATAACTGGCTAGTCATATGCAAAAAAATGAAACTAGATCCCTACCTAACACCATAAACCAAAACTAACTCAAGATGTATTAAAGACTGAAATATAAAGCCTCAAACTACAAAAATCCTAGATGAAAACCTAGGAAACACCCTTCTTGATATTGGCCTTGGGAAATAATTTATGGCTAAGTCCTCTTGCAACAAACCAAAAACTGACAAGTGGAACCTAATTAAAGAGCTTCTGCACAGCAAAAGAGATCATCAAAGGAGTAAACAGACAACCTAGAGAATGGTAGAAAGTATTTGTAAACTATGCATCCAACAAACGTCTAATATCCAGAATCTACAAGGAACTTAAATCAACAAACAAAAACCCCATTAAAAATGAGCAAAGGACATGAACAGACACTTTTCAAAAGAAGATATACAAGCAGTCAACAAATATATGAAAAAATGCTCATCATCACTAACAGAAAAATGCAAATCAAAACCCCAATGGGATACCATCTCACACCAGGCAAAATGACTTTTGTTAAAAAGTCAAAAACAAAAACAAAAACAAAAACAGATGTTGGTGAGGCAGCATCTGTTTCTCTGTTTCCCTGCAGAGAAAAGGGAATACTTATACATTGTTTTTGGGGATGTAAACTAGTTCAGCCAACCGTGGAGAGCAGTTTGGAGATTTCTCAAATAACTGAGGGTTGAACTACCATTTGACCCAGCAATGACTTCTGGGTACATACACAAAAGAAAATAAATCATTTTATCAAAACGACACATGCACCCATATGTTCATTGCAGAACTATTCACAATAGCAAAGACATGGTGACCATCAATGGTGGATTGCGTAAAGAAAATGTGGTACATATATTCCAAGGAATACTATGAAGCCATAAAAACGAATGATATTATGTCTTTCGCAGCAACATGATACAGCCGGAAACCATTACCTAAGCAAAATAACACAGAAACAGAAAACCAAATACCACTGGTTCTCATTTATACCACGGAGCTAAACATTGGGTACACATGATCATAAAAATGGGAAAAATAGACACTGGGGAATACAAGAGGTGGGAGGAAAGCAGTGGGGAAGAGCTGAAATAAACTACCTTTGGGTACTATACTCACTAACTGGATGACACATTAATTTGTGCTCCAAACTTCAGTATCATGTAACATACATTTGTAACAAACTTGCACATGTATCCCCGACTGTAAGATAAAAGTTGAAAAAAGAAAAAAGCAAAAGAAAGAAAAAGAAATCCACACATAGGCATCTGGTATGTATATCTATCTTTTGTTATCTTTTCAAGAATTTGTTTAGAATGAGCCAGTTGCCCTGCAGCTTATTAACTCAGAGAAACTAGTCACAGTCAAGTTTCTGAAAATGCAAAGATGCAGGTAGATGATAAAGCACTCACCAAAGTAATAACATCCATTGTAGTCTCTAGTAACCAGTCAGTTGTTCTTCTGCTATAAATCTTGACATATCACAGTATGTCTTCTTTCAAATTGCACCCCACTAACCCCACCTCTGACAAATTACATGGCATTTCAGCATGGAGGGAGGAAGGACTTACCTGGGATTTGGCCATTTCTTCTTCTTAGGAAAGTGGAAAACTGGAACAAAAAAAGAAAGAAAAGTAATTATAATCAGAGCTTGCCTTACAGCTCCAGATTAATCACTTTTAAAACCTCACTTATCAACTATATCTAAGAACATTCTGTAGGAGACTGAATCCCTGTGTCCTATGTAAGGAAGAACCATGTTGAAGTAGTGTGACCTGTCAGATTAAATGTTAAGTAAAAATTTGGAGCAACAGCAATTCATAATCATAACCAATGCATAATCTGTTCAATTACCTTGTAGAGAATTATACCCATGACTTATACCTTCTTCCTCACATCGATAGGGAGAACACACTGAAGGAAGCAGAATGAGGGGCACTAAGCACTGCAGGAGAAGATGGGGATGGCAGACTCAGCCTGACCAAAGAAATCAATCACATCTTGGTAAAGTAAGCCACTCTCATTTGTGTCTGGATTAGAGTAGGATGAACATCAGAAAAGGGCTCTGTGATCAGCCTCCTTTACTAGGCTTTAATGTAACTGATTTTCCCTTTATTATCTCCTAAACTCCTAATTTAGAACAGCATATAATAAAGCCTTTTTGTGCAGCTTTCTATCCAGGCACCAAGAGGGGAAACCAGCTCTTATATGCAGAAGTGACATACAATGCCTTCCTCCAAAATGCTAGCAACAACCATCTCTGTACCCTCAAAAGTGAACTTGTTGAGGGCAAGACTTAGGTGTCCTATCACACTGAATCCCAGAGAAAGCAAACAAGATAGAATTAAATTGGCCTGTGTTTGTTCTTCAGCCTCCCCATCAGAGCTGAACTAGAGATGACTCAAACACAAAATCATTAGGCTTCCTGGGGTTTGTGGTAAAATGGAATATGAGATATGCTAAAGATGTTTTCACTACAAAACACTCAAAATAACCAAATAAATATAATACCTTGATAATTTTGAACTTTACCTGAGCTATGTGATCCTATAATCCTCTTAAGAATCTAGGGTGTGGTGGCTCATGCCTGTAATCCCAGCACTTTGGGAGGCCGAGGCAGGCAGAACACAAGGTCAGGAATTTGAGACCAGCCTGGCCAACATGGTGAAACCCCATCTCTATTAAAAATACAAAAATTAGCCAGGCATGGTGGTGGGTGCCTGTAATCCCAACTACTCGGAGGCTAAGGCAGGAGAATTGCTTGAAGCTGGGAGGCAGAGGTTGCAGTGAGCCCAGATCGTGCCAATGCACTCCAGCCTGGGTGACAGAGATCCGTCTCAAAAAAAAAAAAAAAAAAAAAAAAGGTATTATGTTGGTGCAAAAGTAATTGCACTTTTTACAATAAAAGTAATGGTAAAAACTTTTGCACCAAGCGAATAAAATTGCTGGGAAAAAACATCAGCAGTCTGATCAAACATCCCACTTTCCCAAACCTACTTCTTTCTAGCCACGTTTATGCCTTCCTATAAAAGAAGTAGACATGGGTTCTGGAGCAAGGACATTATTTCTGGAGAAGATAACTAGTCACCCTTTGAAAAGAAGCTTCTGATATACTACTAGGCCCTAGTGGACACTGAACACCTACCTGGAACATCAAATGACTAGATAGCCACACCCACCCATGAACTGAGTATTGTCAGATCAACCAAGTTATAAAATTGGATAGGTACTATAGCAGTCCATCATAGGAGGGAAATGGTATGTTTGAGATTGATTCAGAGGGCTAAAATTTCATGAATAGGTGGCCCAGACTCCCATGTTCCCTAGCTCTGCTGCACTCTTGGCTCTTCCTAAACTTGTATCCATGGCCCTACAAGTAGCTTCCTGTGACCAGCTGACAGAGGAAGTGAAAACACAGGCCTGGGTCACAGAAGAGTTGGCTCAATATTGCAACCACCAGACAAATCTGGTTCAATTTTTATGTAACAAGGTTGTGAGTTATTTTTCAATTCCCATGGACCCTCAGGTCATGTAACCTGAGTATGCCCAGATAAACCAAGCCTGCAACCATAGGGAGAACCTAATGCTCAGACCTAGCAGCAGAAACTGAATTAAGAAGCAGACACTGCATGTCATAACCCAGGATCAAATCAAATTGAGCTCTGGCATCACCTACATGGCAGGATGCAATCAGATAATGCCTCCCAGCACTACCTTATTGCAAGATCCAATCAGATCATGCTTCATTGCCCTATGCTTATAAAACCCAACCCTGCCCCTAGCTCAGGGAGACAGATTTGAACCTTTCCTCCTGTCTCCTTGCAAGTCAACTTGTAATTAAGCTTTTTCTATTTTTGAAAGCTTGTGCCAAAGTATTGGTCTCCATGTGTATCAGGCAGCAAGCCCATGGATTTCTTCGTAGCAGTATGTTGGAGCCAAAATCATACTGCTGCTGTACCTCAGCCCCACTCAAGGATAGCCTTAACAATGGTGAAGGGAAATCTTTCCAGTGGCAAAGTCACAAAAAAATGTTGAAAAACCTCATCTGTTAAAGTATTATACACAGAG
This sequence comes from Homo sapiens, assembly GCF_000001405.40. Classification (NCBI taxonomy): domain Eukaryota; kingdom Metazoa; phylum Chordata; class Mammalia; order Primates; family Hominidae; genus Homo; species Homo sapiens. The sequence goes on from NC_000011.10 coordinate 6,990,380, forward strand.
CTGTGTATGGAATATGCTACTATTTTTATTTTTAAAAACCAAAAAGGATATGCATATCTATTTGCTTGTGCATGTATTAAAAATGCTTTGAAAGAATTCATTAGACACCAGAAAAAAATGGCTGCCTCCAGAGATAGGTACTGGATAGGTGAGAGAAGTGAGAGGGAGACTTACACCTTACAACCTCTGTATCTTTTGTATTTACAGCCACATTAATGTATTATCTATGTTTTAAAGGAAAATTAATGTTCATTATACAATGGAATACTATCTTTCAAAAATTCTTAAGAATGTCTTTCTGTTGTCTTTATATATATTAGGTGGATATTACCTAATTCTAATTTGTCAATTCCAGATCCCCAAAACACACACACACACGCGCACATGTGCGCACACACACAAAGGGGACTTTGAAAAAGAAGGGTGATGAGAATATATTTGTCCCTACCAGGTATATATTCACATTATAAAACCAAAGTCATTTAAATTAGTGTGGCACTCCTGCAAAAATTCAACAGACCAGGAAAAATGAGAATCAAGCAACAATTATAAGAGCTTGTTTATGAAAAAGAATCACAAACCAGTGACTGGAGAAGGCATTATGGAAATTGGCAAAATATGTAGGCATAGGCAGGAAATCAAGTTAGCATCACACTTGATATCACATACCAAAATTATATCCTCCTTTTCAAAGCTTTCCAGCCTCATCATGTGAGAAAAGTGTTTTCATCAACACCCTGACTTTAATCCTGGACAAGCTGCCTGGACTGTGGGAAAGGGCAAAGAGTCTCAGGTCACAAACCTTGTAATAATCATGGTAGAGTTCTGGACAACCGCTTACTATTTCTTTGCCTGCGTTTCTTCATGGTCAGAATGGATGGCTCCTTGTTATCTGTGATTCCACTTTCCCCTAGCCTCCCTGCTTCCCTCCAGGATGTCCAGCACCAGCCAGTGTACAGGCCCAAGGTCTGGACACCCTCCCTGCCTCTGGTTTCCCTAAGACACTGCCTGCGGCAGGGCTGGGGCTGTGGCAGCACACACCGTCGGGGCTGGTACTCCAGTGCTCCCCCGCCCACCACAGTGGATGAGGGCCCTACCCTAGAGCCCCCTCAGGCCTCCTGCACTTACTGCCACCAAACTCCAAGTCACCCCTACACACCCGCAACTGCTTTTTTACTTCCTCCTTAAGAGCTCAGGCTAAGCCTTCCTTTTCTCTTTGTGCTGTCAGTATCTCATCTCAGTTCAACATTTGTAAGTAAACTAAACAATGCTTTAGAATCTTTATGACTTCTACACTTCTAGAGTTCTCATATTTTCATTGCATGGCTCATATTTTCATGATTTTGTGTCCAAATTCTACTTTGCCCGACTTTCTGTATGATTAATCATAACTCCTCATTTGGTAATATTTTAATACCACTTTTAATTTCCAATATAATCTCTTACATTGACTGGTTAGCCAGAGCAAGCTTATTATTACTACAACTAGTTACCTGTCAATTTGTCAGAACACCACTGGCTCTACTGGCATCTCCCCGTGAACCGCCTCTTGGTGTTCATAACGTTGTGTAGTCCCCTTCCTGTGAATCTAGGGTGGTCCTGTCACTCTTCTTCCTTAATAGAATATGGCAGAAGTGATAGTTTGCACTGAAATTTCATGAAGGGCTGGAAGTTTCTACTCTTGAGCTCTTAGGATCCCTGAGCAACTCAGGAAGAATCCAGGAATTCTGCTGGAAATGCCATGTAGAAACTATGTGAAGAGGGAGAAGTCCTGAAACTACATGGAGAGAGAAAAAGCACAGCCCAGCTTGTTCCTTAATGCAATCACAGGAATGCACACTGGCAAGACGAGCAGAACCAAGCAGCTCAGCTCAGCCTAGCCCAGATTTCACAATTGTGAGCAAATAAAATGGTTGTTGTTAGGTAAAATGGCAATAGGTAACCAAAACATCAGTGTTAGCAAAGTGGCATAATTAATATATTGTCAAAGTTGTATTTCAAGAGTGAAGACTGCTAATAATGGCCAAAGAATCTGTGCTGCTTCCGCAACCATCAATAGGATAAACATGCTATGAATAATATGACAGGATATCAACTTTGTCTTAAATCAACCTTTTTACACTAACAGTAAAGTATAAATAAAATGTGTAAATTGTCCTCAGAGGGAAAAATACTCAGCTGTATTAGATTTCGAGGACAGGACTGACAGATCGTGCTGTGCCACAGAATTATGTCACATGCTGTGAGAAAGCTGTTCCTCACCAAGGGGCCCATAGAATCAACCATTGGGACTTTTCTTTCAGCTTCTACAATGAACACATTTCTAACATGTACCAGCTCTGAGGTCTGAACGAGTCATCCAGCTATGTATGCTTTCATTCTGGGACATCTGACCCAGGTTAAGATTCTGGCTAGTCACATTATTGTTAAGTAAACAGGAGCATAGGAGAGCTACGGTAATACTATTTTTAAATCAACTCCATCGTAAAACCAGCAAGGCACATTCCTGGCCAGTCACAATGCACAGTCATAACATGTTTTTGGCTAAGGAAGCAGTTTAGTAATGCTTGCAAGGATAAACTCCTATGATGGCAGAATGTCCAGATGTCCCGGTATCACATAACAATGTATACTTTTACGATATAGTCATGCTTTGATGTACTTATGCACTAAAATGCCACAGAAAACTTTTTAAAAACAAAGTACTAAATTTTGTCACGCTGTCAGCCTACCCCCACATAGACGTAATAGTTTTTACATAGATAAGACTCCTATACAAGAACAGTTTAAAACAAAGAAGGCACATTCCTCCATTTCGTTTCTGAGGACACCCTACTCTGTATCTGGGTAGCTTTCAATAAACTCTCTTCTCACTGTACTCTGCAACTCGCCTTGAATTCCTTCCTGCTTAGACCCAAGAGTTCTCTCTTAAGGTCTGGATTGGGACCTCTTTTTCTGGCAACACTATTTCCTACTTCATTTTAGCCTCTGATCCTCAGAGAAATCACTTTGAGCTGATTCTTTTTGTATCTACCTACCTATTTCTAAATACTGCACTATGCTTATGCAGTAAGATTGACAATTTTAGGTACTTCCTTCTGCTTTTTTTCTATTATGGGAGATGGAAATTTGGTGTTTTTATACCCCCTCTCACTTACCCTTCCATGATCCTACTAACATAGTTTCTATCAATTTTTTGTTAATTTATTTTCAGTGATCACATTTTTATGACTATGCCATATTGTCCAAACAGAGATAAGCAGTGTTCTATGATTACATTTTCTTCCTTATCCTATTTTTTGTTCTTTCTTATGCCTTTATGTTTGATTGGCTTGCCTAGATTTTATATACAGTTTAACCTCATTACTAATGGATTTCATATTTGTAAATTCACCTACTCACTACAATTTATTTGTAACCCAAATCAATACTTGTAGCACTTTCCCCAGTCATTTGTACACATGTGCAGAGCAGAGCAAATTTCAAGTTGCCCAAGGTGCATGTGACCAGCTGAGGTTGAACAAAGCAATGCCATACCTTCTTGTTTTAGCTCTTCTACCATAAAAAGCATCCTTTCACAATATATTTAGTGCTGTTTTAGCATTTTTGTGCTTTTTGTTGATTTTTGCTGTTTAAAATGGTCCCAAGTATAGTGCTAAGGTGCTGTCTAGTGTTCCTAAGTACAAGAGGGCTGTGATGTACCTTAGGAAAAAATACATGTGAAAGAGAAGCTTCCTTCAGGCATTATAGTGCTGTTGTCTTGTGAGTTCAGTATTAACAAATCAATATAGTAAATGTTATTTTATATATATTTTATATATTATATATTAATACCATTTAATACTAATATCGCATATTAAAGGCAAATTATGTATTGATCCGTTGACAAAAATGTTGTGATAAGAAGCTCATAGGAATCTTACCCTCTGGTGAATCATGAACTTTTCTATGCCACAATTTCTCTTGACTATAGAATGTGCCTTGTGGGACCTTTCTCAAAGCAGTTGTGAAATTTTAATGACATTAAACTTCTAAGACTGAGAATCAGTGTGCTGTGAAAATTAATACTTTATTATGTGAATAGGCACTATTCTAGAGAAAAGATCAATTTGTTTGGGCAGTAGCCTTAGGACTCATCTTATTTCGACATTTTATTTTATAGCTGAAGCTGCTTAAGCTCAGAGAGGTCAAAAGATTATCCCAATCCCATAACATCAGTAAAGGACAGATTCTGGGTAAAACCCCAGTGAGCCTTTTGGATCCTTCAGCCACTGTGCTGTCACTGTTCACCAGGAAACTATTTTGAAGAATGTTAGAGTTCTAATTCATCTGACAATTAATTTTAATGTTCAGTGAAGGATATCTTATGGGTGCAGTGATTGTGGTCTGTATTCCAAATTTTAGGGCCTGATTAGACAGAAACAGAAACACACCATAGCATTGCCTTTTTGACTGGGTCATAGTTTTTCAGCCTCTGCATACCCCATATTAATATTCAATAGATATTAGGATTTAATCATTCAATTTGATAGGAATTTCTGACAGGATCTGCCTGACTCTGATACTTTTCTCACCAGAATTGCTGATGAGAGTCTGTATTACTCCCAGTTCACACTGAGCCAATGATTATGTTTGTTGACATTAGGTAGAAATATACCTTGTCTTCCCAAAAACTGATCTCAGCTCAGGAAGCCTTGCTCTTAACCAATAGGCTATATTTATTCCTAAAACTGCATTTTTCTCACTTTGCTTGAAACACTTTTAACTCCTCCTTGTCCACCCCCTCAGGTTATTGCAATTTATTCTGGACTAAGATGAGAACCTCTCTCTTTGGAAAGCCTACCCTGACTCCCCAAAGTTGGGCATGACTATTCCCATGGCACGACTTGAACTTTATATTATCCAAATGAAAAAACAAAACCCTCTAGTCCCTTAAGAGTAGCTTAAATCTCAACATTGATATTTGAGGTTAATGTTTTAATTAATCTTGAAACATTAATCTAGACAGACTGATTTCACAGTCCCTAAAACACTGTGTTCAACTGTAAGATTTTACAAGCAATTCTTCCTGTCTGTAAAGTAGTAAAGGATTTTGGCCTCCTTTTTACCTATTAAAATACTAAATAAAGTCCAGTTTTAAAATTAATTTCTGATATATTCATCATGGTCAAAATATATCCAATATTTGATTATTTCTGTCACCTCCACTGTTAACACTATGTTAACACCTTATCTCTTTTAGGGGTAACTGCAATACCTCCTAATTGGAATCCCTGCTTTGGCTCTAGCCTCTACTTTGTCAGTTCTTAACACAGCATTCAGAATAAGCCTGTTTAAATTTGTTAGATCACTTAAAACCCTCCAGTGGCTTTTTACTTCACTTAGAATAAAAGACAAAGCCTTTACAATTACTTACAAGGCCCTATTACCTTTAATTTCCCTCTGTTTTCCTCCTCCCTTACAGTGCTGCAGTACATTCCAGGTCCATTCCTAGCCTCAGACCCTTTGCACTTGCTCTACCCTCTACACAGAATTCTTTTTCCATGGAGAGCTCCATGGCTCACTTGCTCCCTCACTTGTTTTAGTGAGATAACATCCTGGGATCTGAGTATGTGCATATGAGCTTCTACCATATGATGTTACATAACCCTGTTCTTTACAAGCCCCCTAATAGTATGAAACTCTATTTCCATAGAACATATTCCTGTAGAATTACTGTAGCAAAGAGTAACAGCAATTTTAAGGCTCAGGATTGGCCAAATTGTTTTTCCAAAAAGTCGTTATCAATTTACCCTCAACATAAGCATAAGTATACATCACTCCATACTCTTGCTGAAAATGGCTATTGTCATTTTTGTTAATAAAAGTGATACTGCTTTGCTTTAATCTGTTTATGTTCTTCGTCAAAATTTTAAATTAGGTGTCCATTTAATTAAAAAGAGTTTGTACTGTCACAATCATGGCAAATATTTCTCCTATTTTTGTCTGACTTATATGTTTTTCACCCAGTTTAAAAATTTTTATGTGGTCAAATTGTGTATTTTTTCTGAGTGTTTAAAAATCCCTCTAGAGAATTTTAAATATTTTATAGTGGAACCTCCTTTAAAAAAACAAAATCAAGTCATTTTTGCATATGAAGAGATAAAATGTGGCTACACTTGCAGTTCTTTTGCTTCTGAAGATACTAGTCTTCATGAAACCACATGGAGGTCCATGGAACACAGCTTGAAAACCTGTATTCAATCAATGTTTTATTCTGATATAGGTCATGAAATGAAAGTCTTTTTTATTAAAGAGTTAAATAATGATCTCAGCACAATTTACTGAATAATCCTCCTATTCGCAGATCTTTATCATGTGTGAACTCTATAAGCATATGCACTGTATGTTCAAATACACATATATAATCCATACACTGGTATATTTCTAAGCTATTTAGTGACTTAGAATCCTAACTTTTTTTTTCAAATATACAATTAAATTCTCCATTATTACAACTTCATATACCAATATACAATTTATTATATGTTAGGGCAATATCATTAATCTTTCTTACAATTATCTTTGCTCTTCTCCAATGTCTATTTTCCTTAAAAGACTAGAACATCTTTATCTCAAATTCATTGGGATTTTCATGAGATCTGAAACAAATATATAAATTAGGAACATTCCCTTAAGGAAAATTAAGACTCCTCTAGTCAAGTCCTCTTTTATATTTCCCCGTTTTTTATTATTTTCATTCTGCATTTTTGTAAATTAAAAACCAGATTTTTTGACAATTACATTTCCTGAATATTCCAAGAATTTAGAAAACTAATGATTTTGTATTTTTGCCCAACTTAATGAGTTTAAATTAGTGCACTTTTCACCTTTAAAAACATATTGTAGGTACTCCTTTATGTTTGTCTAATAAACCTTCACCTGGTCTCACATTTAAGCAATATCACATTTTCATCTGTTATAGCACATAATTAGAAATTTTTAACCCAGTGTTTTCAACATTTTAAAATGAAGCATTGAACGTGTTTTGATACATTTGGCTTTAATCATCTTGATCCGTTTATTTTAATATTTTAGGCCAACTTCTTGGGGATTTTTTTGGTAGTCATTGCTACAGAGACTGAATAATTTTTGCTTTTATCTTCTCCCATTTTGAAAGGTATATGCACTTTTTTTAGTTTTATTAAGTTGTAATTTTAGGTTTGTAAAAAAAAAAAAAAAAGGCCTTTCTTAAATTGTCATTCAAAAAGAAAATGTTATTATGAGTCCCTGCTATTTAAGATCAGAAATGTGGCACTTATGGTCTCTCTCCAGTTGCCGGATGTAGCAACTAAAAACAGAAATGACCAGTTAAATTTGAATTTCAAATGTATGAAATTTTAGTGTAAGTCCCATGCAATATTTGGGACACCCTTATACTAAAACAATTATTCTTTGCTTATATGAAATTCAAACTTAACTGGGTGTCCTGACAACCTTACTCTCCTACCCAGACTCAGCATTTGTACACTTTACACTCAGCATTTGTATATTTTTATTGCACATTTAATTTTTTGAAGTTTTGGAAACTATCCAGACAACTGCATATCTAATTGATTTCAGTGCTTATCACTAGTCCTTTTATACCATGATTTCCACATTCACAAACTCTCTTTAAGGCACATATACGCTACACTGTTTTCTTGCTTATCAAAAATATTTGTTTCCTGCACATATGAAAGACACTTTTGTTATAAAACTGGTGATAATAAACTTTTCAAATCTCAAAATTCTGAACGTGCTGCTCCATTGCCTTCTGAGTTACTGTTGCAGAGCTCTGTATCCACCCTCCCTTTCTGGTTTTGCAGATAACCAGAATTTTTCTTTCTGCATGCTTTTAATTGCTTCTTTCTAACCTGTTTCTAAGGTTGCTTTAATACTGGTTTTGCCTAAAACTTAGTGACCATATACTTTTAACTCAGAGAAAGTTTCTTAATGTCTTTGATCATTGATTCTATGCCAAATGTTCTTTCACCTTCCTTAGAGACACCTTTAATTCTCACACTGGACCTCCATCCTCTGATATTCATATCTGTTCTTTCTTAGTTTCCATCTCATTATCCTTTTCAGATACATTTAAGATCAGATCAAGTTTATCTATTAACTATCAATTATTTTATATTCTTCAGTGTTACTTTTTATTGCATTTATTTTGATACAGTATTTCAGAGCTCCCTGAAGTCCTTCTTTGTTGTATCTATTTCTCTTTTCACTTTAGATACTCTTCTCTACTTGTATATTTCTACTCTATCTTTACTGAGTTCAGATTCTCTGTTATGCCACTAAGGACACCAACATTTCTGGAAATTTCCTCTGAAGCCTGCAGCAGCTAATTTTCAGGGCAATAAGTTTCCAGGTCTTTAGGATGATATTCTTTTCTTCAGTATTGCAATTCCCTCTAATTTTCCTAAACATGTCCACTTTTTTTTCTCTTGGTATTACTTCAGCATATTTGTGTATCAATAATTAAGACTGTGTATTCCGACTAACTCTATTCTGAGATAATGGCCAAACTCTCTTTTTACATAATTAGCTTCAGGGTTCATCGTTGCACAGAGTTCTGAGTTCAATGCTGTCCTTGCAGATATTTCTCTATTACCACTCTGTTCTACTGAGATTAAATAAAATTCTACTGCTTGGATCTCTAATTCCGAACCAATGGAGTATCTTCCATTTCTAGCACTTTTGTCCATACCCTTCACACCTTAGAGAAAATTCTGTACTTCTTGTTGTTTGGTATCTGAACCTATTATTAAGCGTGGAAAACCGGAAAGGGAAGGGATGAGTGCACTGTAGTCACCTCAAAGTGAAGCACCCCTGCAACAGAAGGATGGTCCCTGGGTTTTCTGGTTGACAGAGATAACAACTCAGATACACTGTCTCAGACACAATGTCATACAATGCTTTCCTATCTTTTATTAGGTGGCTTTTGTCCATAAACAATTGAATTCTACCGGCCAAAACTGAGTTTTAAGTTCTATGTGTTTCCATCTTTTCTGTTACTTCCTAGGGAGTTTTTAGGGGAGTTAAGAGATGTCGTTTAACAGTTGGCCAACCAGTTTCAATTCAAACCAAAATTTAAGTAAATATTTTGAAGACAGTGAAAATACAAAATTGAACACACAATTTCATGCACATTAAAATGCACAGAAAAAAAGACTAGAATGAAATAGAATGAAGAGTTTTCTCCTTAAATGTTTAATATATTTATGACTGTATTATATTTATAGTAGGTAAAGAAAAATACACTATAATTTTAAATATATAGGGTTTTTTCTAAAGATCTCCTTTTGAAGCAAATAATTCTTAGTGGGAGATAGGGGAAACTATAAATGTTGCTTGGGATTACTTGTGTTATTTATAAGATTTCCTTAACAGCAGGATTTATAGGGTTTAAAGGTTAGGTAAACTTTGATTAAAGCTGTTAACTAAATGAACAATATTTATAAGTTTCCTCTTCTATGATTATTGTGAAGATGTGAATTATGATCAAATCCCTTATAATATTCACGGCATTTGTAAGGTTTCTCTCCTGCATGGACTCTTTGATGAATTCGAAGAGCTGAGCTATGACTGAAACCTTTACCACACTTAGCACATTGATAAGGCTTCTCTCCTGTATGGACCCTCTGATGAATGTGAAGATTAGAACTGTGACTAAAACCCTTTCCACAATCATGACATTTATAGGGCTTTTCTCCTGTATGGACTCTCTGATGAATGAGAAGATGTGAACGCTGACTGAATCCCTTGCCACACTCTTCACATTTGTAGGGTTTCTCTCCAGTATGTACTCTTTGATGAGTGTGAAGCTTTGAACTCTTACTGAAGCCCTTCCCACATTCAGGACAAGTATAGGGTTTCTCCCCTGTATGGACTCTCTGATGAATGCGAAGATCTGAGCTGTGACTAAAGTCCTTTCCACAGTCATCACATTTATAAGGTTTCTCTCCTGTATGCACTCTCTGATGAATTTGAAGATTTGAGCGCTGGGTAAAGCCTTTACCACAGTCTTCACATTTATAAGACTTCTCTCCTGTGTGTACTAACTGATGAATTCGAAGATTTGAGCTCTGGCTGAAACCCTTACCACACTCATCACACTTATATGGTTTTTCTCCTGTGTGGACTCTCTGATGAACATGAAGTACTGAACTCCGATTAAAACTCTTACCACACTGATTACATTTAAAAGGCTTCTCTCCTATGTGAAGTCTCTGGTGAATGTGAAGTAATGAATTTCTACTGAGGTCTTTATCACACTCAATTTTATAGAATTTCTCTTCTGTGTGGACTCTTTGATGATTGTGAAGACTAGAGATCTGGCTGAAGCTCTTACCACATGCATTACAGCTATAAGGTACCTCCCCTATGTGAACTCTCTGATGAAAGTGAACTCCGGAGCTCTGATGAAAGTTACCGTCAACTTCATCACATCCGTACAGCTTCTTACCTATGTGGTTTCTTGGATGTCTATACAAGTCTGATCTCTGAGAGAAGCATGCTTTACAGATGGAGCATTGACAGAGGTTTTCTCCAGGTTGATTTCTCTTGTGGAAAACACACCGTGAGTTCCAATAATAAATTCCTTTACATTTATTACATCCACAGTACTTTTCTTCCATTGAATCTCTCAGTAGGTCTTCTTGACATATCACCCCAACATACTGTGGAAGGGCTTCCTCCACTGGGATATAAGAATGCTGAACTATGAGCTTCTGTTCTTTTTCCATGGAGAGGTTTTTCCTGGATATGCCAAGACGGTATCTGCCCCCTTGAAAACCATGTGAACCACTCATGTAGATTTCTCTACCATAGTCTTGAGTGGTTTTTGTTTCTAAGGACTGCCAAGGCATAAAATTTTTATATTTTAAGTTCCTGAGACTTTTGCTTTCAAAAGTCAGTTCATAGTTCCCATACCCTGGTACTTGTGTGGAGAGTATTAACCATTCCTGACACTGGGAACGATCTTGCTGTGTGAGGTCTTTGGAATCTGTCCCTTGAACAGTTTCCCCATAGTTCTGATTCTCATACATCTGGGCGCCAGCATTCCACCAGCCTTGCCAGTAGGAAAAATTTTCATATTCTAAGTATCTGAATTTTTCTTCTTGGGATTTGTAGCTCTCATTCCAGTTTTCTAGAAAAATAAAAAGATAATCCCATGGTGAGATAAAAGCTGTGTTGAAAAATTTCCAACTATCTAAATCAATGACCTTTAAATGATAGGAATATATGTGTGGCTGGGGGTAGGAAAGAAGGGTTATGACTCTGCCTGCTCCATTTGGGTCTGAAATTCATTTATTTTGTTCATTCATGTATGTATTCATTCATTCACTTATTTATTCATTCCACAAACATATCTTGAGCAGGCACTGTTAGAAAGATTTAACTTCTATTTACCACGCACTGTTAGAAATGAGAATAATGCCAACTGCTTCATGGAAATAGTCGTAAAGACTGAGATTTAATTAGATTACTTCATTTTGTATGCTCTTATAAGAAACAAAATATATTGTTCCTATTTTTCTGTTCTAGAATAGCATGGTAGATTGAGAAAAAATGACTACATTAACTCACTACTTTACCTACACCTTTGGTGTTCTCCTTCCACACTCTCTCTATGCTTGGCTACACAATTTGCGTTGGTAACTGGGAAAATAACAAAAGTAACACAAGCAGAGACTTGAAAAGTCCTTGCCCTCTCTCGATGCTTTTGAAAATCCCGTGACCACCACCATGTAAGTGTGCTTGGGTTGGCTTGTTTGAAGAGAGATATATGGCCAACACATTCCCACTACCTCCACTGATACTGAGCCGACTGCCCCACATTTGAGTCAGGCCAGGCAGCTTAATCTTAGACCATTCAACCACAACCAAATCCTCCATGATAAAAGATCATCCAGTCAATGAGAATCATAAAAAATAATAAAGTTTGTTTTTAAGCCACTAAGTCTGGCATAGTATGTTATACAACAAAAGCTAACTTATACAAATAGCATGAAGAGAGAAAAAATTTAGGACCACACAAAATTGACTACATATGGAGATATGTGTTTTAAGGGTAATGCAGAGAATAACTAAAACTAATAATCACAAGTATCTATTAATGATATAACCTAGGTGTCCTGGAATCTGTCTTGCTTTATCTTCTATTTGTAACATGATTTAAGAAACATTTTTGAGAATATCTCTTCCAACACCTCAATATAACACCCAGATAAAAAAACAAAATACTCAACAAAACTGCTCCTAGAAGAAACTCTATTCCCTATGAGACGGGATAACTTTACCTACTGACATGACATTTGTGTAGTTCTCCCACATGACCTCCCTGTAGAGTCTTTTTTGAGAAGAATCCAGGAATTTCCACTCCTCCCATGTAAAAATAATAGTCACATCTTCAAATGTTACTGCCATCTGGTCAAAGATCAGGCTTTCTAGGAAAAAGAAATCTAAGTGAGAAGATGGACAAAGATAAAGACATTTAGCAGATAAGATATGTGGCAAGCCGAATAGAAAAAACAAGAACTTCAGTAAAGGAGAAAACCAAGAAAGGTAAGGAGAGGTAATAACAATAGTAGTTAAATAGCTAAATAATATATCCAATCATGAAACATCATCACTATCAAAAGAAACACCTATACAGCACTTGTCTACTAAGTTTTTTACCTATATTTCAGTTACTCCTCACAGAAATCCCATGTTGTAGGTAGCTTTCTACTACTATTATGCATTTTAGAATGGAAAACAGATAAATATATGTATTAAAACTGCCTAAAGTAATTATTTTAGTGGAAAGAACAGATCATAAATTGGTTATGTGACAAAGCCATTTTATTTTTTAAAATTTTCATTGTATCTATTTGATCACACATTCTCAATTCTAAATTTCAATTTAAAATATTGAGTACCTACTAAGAATAAAGGAAACAGATACTTTTAAGGAGTTTACAACAAAATGGAAGGAAAGCCAAATACTATCATCATCAGCAGCAGCAGCAGCACCATCATAGCTGCAGCTAAATCTTATTGAATGTTTATTGTATGAATAGGGCTATGTTATCTCATTTACTCTCAGAACAATCCAATAAGGTATTATTATTCACAATAAATGAATACGCAATCTAACGTTTAGCAAGACTAAGTTACTTGTATAAGATTATGTAGTTACATCATAGAGGTTTTTAAACCCAGCACTACCTATTAAATAAAAGTGAGATAAATTAAAAATGTTTGATGAAGGGTTGTCAGTTGAGATTTCCATATACTGTCATAATGTGTTAATGAAGAAGGGCAAAGGAAAGATGTACTGAAATATTCAAGGGTAAAAAATATGCCACCAAACTACTATTTTCCAAATAAACTACATGAAAATACATGTCTAAACAATAAAACATTAACCACAAATAAGAACTCAAGAATGAGAACATTCAGAGCCATGTATTTAAATACCTAGTGGTATATTTTTAATGTTTATAAAATAAGTTTAATAAATTTTAAATATAATGAATCCACTTTAAATATATAAATTAAAAAAAGAAAAATTTGGGATGCTCAGAAACTCAAACTACAGGACTGAAAACTGTGAAAGTTGGTATCTGGAAAATAAATGGACTCACTGATCTCTAATTTTATAAAAAGTACAATAAAAATAAAACTCAATCTGTAGTTACTGGATTTGTTATTTTTTAAAAAATTTAAGGATTTATTTTAAAAACATACTAGCAATTAGGAGTCTAATTTCTTTTACTGGAAATAAGTTCATAAATATTTAAAATACTGAAATAACATAAGTAAAAATTAAAAGCCTACCTTCCCCCAAATAATTTAAGAAATAACCACTATAACCAGTTTTCACTGTGTTCTAACCTTCTTCCATGTATACACAACACACATTCATACTTCACTGATTTTTTTCCTTAATAAAGACATGATAATTCTGCAATTTTCTTTTTTTCATTTAATACATAGTGTACAACTTCCCACTTCAGTACAGGTAGACCTGTCTTATTTGTGATAATTTTTAAACATGCCCACAAATTATTTGATCCTTTCCATTCAAGAAGTGAAGCCTAATTCCCCACCCCTTGAATATAGGCTGAACTTGGTGAGTAACTTCTGATGAATAGGAAATAAAGTGGATAAGGAAGTAGTGGCATGCAACTTTGGAGGCGGGGTCATAAAAGTCACTGCAGCTTCTTTCTTGCTCTCTCTCTGGGATCACTAGCTCTGGGAAAAGCTATATGTCATGTCATGAGAAAACCTAGGCAGCCCTGTGGTGAGGAACTGGGACCTTCTGCTTTCGTTGAGAAATGAGACATCTTGCCAACAGCCATGTGAGTAAACTATCTTAGAAGTGGATCCTCCAACCACGGTGCAGCTTTCAGATGACTACAGTCCCTGCTGACAGCTTCACTGCAACTTCATGAGACACCTTGAGACAGCTTAGCTTCTTCCAGATTCCTCACCCTCAGAAACTGGGTGAGATAATGTTTGCTGTTTTAAGTATTAAATAATTTGTTATGCAATAATAGATAACTAATATTATTTGTAAAAGTTACGTAGCATTTCATTTTATTGATGTCCAAGACTTAAATGTTCCCATATTAATGGACGTTAAGATCATTTCCAGTTTCTTGGCTACAACATATAGCAAAAGAATTCTCTTAAATATATCATATTTCTATTGTAATATTTATATATGATAATGTCTATATGATAAATATAAATAATTCTATATGACAAATAGATATATTTCTGTATGATAAACTTCTAGAAGTGAAATTGTCAGGCATCTGTATTTCAGTTTACTAAAAAATACTACAAAATGTCCCTTGAAAATATTTTTAAAAATATGTTACAAATATTTTCCCCCAGTGGAGCAATAAAAGCAAGACATCTATATTCAAAATTAGTAAGTACAATAAATCTAAACAGAAAAGAAGAAAAGAATTATATAAACAATAAACTAAGATGACAAGCCTATTGATAGAGAAAAGGATACTAAAATTGAGTTTTAAAATAAAGTGGCATACTGCTTATAAGAGATATACTCCAAACTAATGAATTCTGAAGGATTAAAAATGATCTGGCTAATGTTTTCTTGTGGTGTTTAAGTTCTTTATTCACTTCCTGTTAGCTGGTTCTTTTGTTCCAGGGACTTGATTAGACTACAGTTCATTCTTTCCGACAAGAATACCTGCCTATATACTTCCTATAGTACATTTTAGTTAGCTAAACTGAACAATGGCTTCAGGTGCTGTCAGCCCAGTCCTTCCATTCTAAGATTCTCTTAAACCTTTCACTAAAAGTTTTAGCAATAGATGATCATTTCCTGGATTTGTGATTTCATTAGGTTTTACAAATTGGTTGTCTAATTCTGTAATTCTACATACCTTGTGCATACATATGCTATAATTCTTCTATAATGAAAAACTTGCCATTACAAATTTTCTGGTTATCCTGAAATGTAATCCTAATGAAAAAGATAAGATAAAATGCTTGATTATCTCCCAAACTTACTCTCTTTCAAAAATCAATTTTCAGAGTAATGAGATGGGGCAAAGCAATCACCAACTATGACCAGTGAGATTTGTATTATTTTGCTTTTCAGTGTTTTCATACTCACTGATTCTTACATACTGGATGGATTGCAATTAAATTGCAGTCATTTTTCTTTTCGATGTGCAAGATTCTCTCATCTCAGACTAGTAGGAATCCCTTCAGGTTGGCTCCTGGGTTTGTAATATGACCTTTTTTGGTGTTTGAGAGCTTCCTTACTTTCTGGCACAACAAATGTCCAGGTTCATTCTTGTTCCATTTCCTTGACCAACTAGGATGTATTATTTCTCCCAGGAGTCTGATAATTTTCCACTCCTTTTTTGGTATATAAGTAACCCCCCAACAATATTATATAAACTTGATATCTCTTTTGTCCTCTCATCTATGAACACAGCTCTCTCCGATTATTAGTTTTCTTTAAGGTCCTTTTCAAGAAAGGTCAGTTAAAATCATTCTCTATACATCTGGAGTTTTGATTCCTTCTTCTAATATTGTCAGATTTTGCTTATACAATTTGAAATGGATTCTTAGCTACATATTAGTTCATGACTAATACATCTCCTTGATGGATCTTAACTATTGAACATTATTGACCTTTTATTGTGACATTAAATAAGTCTCTTGTAAAGAGCACAGAGAAAGATTTCTGTTTTTCATTCAATCAGTATGACTCAGTTATTTTATTATCCATGTTCATTTATTGTGATTACTAATACAGGCTTATTTCTAACATATTATTTTTTATTCTTCCTTTCCTGTCTCTTAGATTGACAGTTTTATGCTTTAATTTCTTCACATCGCCACCTTTTCATCTATATAGATTTCAATTTCACACATAGTTTCTATTATTTTAATAAGTAACCTAAATATATTTTAAACATATACACTTACCTATTTTTCTAATAAGTCAATTAAGAAGAGAAACTAATCCAGGAAAGGCTGCATGAAATATGACAAGAAAGGTGATCAAGTACCTTGGTGAAGTTTATTGTTATCATAAAACAAAACTAACAACAAAAGAAATAGGAGTGAACAAAGAAAAAAGGAGACATAGAAAGTATATCAGTGCCTACATATCTGAACTACAATTCTTGACAATACAAACATGAGGGGAGAAAGAGACAGATATAAGAGTGTGCTAAAGTCCATGTCTTATTAAAAATATGACCTAGATATTAATACATTTAAAAAGTCAGTAGGGGTAAATAAAAGTCAATGTGGGTTTTAAGTTAAGCACAACCATCATAAGAAACAAAATGAAATCTATGAAAAACAAAATAAAAACAGAAGACAACTTGCTCCACGGGAAAACAGAAAATAAGAAAAGATGGCAAAAATAATAAAATAATTATAATAAATTTAAATAATTTAATATTACAGATTAAAAGACTCAGATTAAAAAATAAGATTTAGCATGTGGTTTAGAACAGATACACTAAAAAGAAAAATATTTAAAAATACAAGGATAAAAAAAGATTGCAAAAATACGAATCAAAAGAAAGCTGAAATAGCAAACTTAATTTCAGATGAGTAAAATTTATGGCAAAAATACCATAAGGGACAAAAATGTTTTTTATATGAACAGTAGGAAAAAATATCCAAAATAAATTGAATCCACAGATAAAATTTCAAAATGTATCAAATGACAAGTGTCACAAATGTGAGGGGAAATATACATACCATTAGTTGTAATGATAGATATTAATATGTCCCTCTCAAAAAATTATAGCAAGCAAACAAAAAACCCTAATAATATGAAGACTAAACACTACAAATAATAAGCTTCAGTTATTTTATCTGTGTTGAACTCTACACCATCAAAATACAAAATACAGATTATTTTCATGAATACATAGTACTATAAGATAGACCATGTATTAGTCCATAAAAGAAATCATGATAAATTCCAAAGCATCAACATAATATAGAATACATTATCTAGCTACAATGTAATAAAATTTGAAATTATTAACAATAGAATTTTAAAAGTCCACACTTCTGAAACCCAAGTAACATACTATATTATTAAATAATCTTCAAATTTAAAAGAAAAATATAACAATTCTTAATTGTTTTTTCTTCAAAATCTAAATGTAATAATGACAATAATTACGTAAAAAATGTGCAAGATCCAAATGAAATACTTGAAGGAAACAAAAATGGCTAGAGCAGCTGGGCAAAGTGGCACACACCTGTAATTCCAAGCACTTTGGGAGCCCCAAGTGGGCGGATTGCTTGAGCCCAGGAGTTTGAGACCAGCCTAGGCAATATGGAGAAATCCCATCTCTACAGAAAATACAAAAATTAGCCAGGCATGGTGGCCCACACCTGTGGTCCTAGCTACTCAAGAAGTTGAGGTAGGAGGAGCAATTGAGCCTGGGAGGTTGAGGCTGCAATAAGCTGTGATTGTACCACTGCACTCCAGCCTGCAAGACAGAGCGAGATGCTGTCTTAAATAAATAAATAAATAAAATTAAAAAACCCCAGCTAGACTAACATCATACTGAATAGGTGAAGGCTCAAAGTATTTACCTTGAGAACCAGAAAAAGACAAGAATGCCCACTCTCACCACTCCTATTCAACACAGTACTGGAAGTCCTAGCCAGAGCAATCAGGCAATAGAAAGAAAGAAAAGGCATCCAAATAAAGACAGGAAGTCAAACTATCTCTGTTTGCAGATGACATGATTCCATACCTAGAAAATCCCAGAGTCTCTGCCCCAAAGCTCCTTTAGCTAATAAACAACTTCAGGAAAGTTTCAGGATACGAAACCAATATACAAAATTCAGTAGCATTTCTATATACCAACAACATCCAAGCTGAGAGCCAAATCAAGAATGCAATCCCATTTACAATAGCCACAAAAAGAATAAAATATCTATGCATACTGCTAACCAGGGAGGTAAAAGATCTCTACAACAAGAATTACAAAGCACTGCTCAAAGAAATCAGAGATGACATAAACAAATGGAAAAACATTCTATGCTTATGGATAGACTCAACATAATCAAAATGGCCATACTGAAGCAGTATACAGATTCAATGATACTTCCATCAAACTACCAATGACATTCATCACTGAATTAGAAAAAAAAAACTATTTTAAAATTCATATGGAACCAAAAAGGAGCCCAAATAGCCAAGGCAATCCTAAGCAAAATGAACAAAGCTGGAGGCATCACATTACCTGACTTCAAACTACAAAGCTACAGTAACCAAAACAGCAGGGTACTGATATGAAAACAGACACATACACCAATGGAACAGAATATAGAGCCCAGAAAAAAATGCCTCACACCTACCACCATCTGATCTTCAACAAAGTTGACAAAAACAAGCAATGGGGAAAGGACTCCTATTCAATGAATGGTGCTAGGATAACTGGCTAGCCATATGCAGAAGATTGAAACTAGACCCCTTCCTTATACAATATACAAAAATCAATTCGACATGGTTTAAAGACTTACATGAAAACCTAAAACTGTAAAAACCCTGGAAGATAACCTAGGGGATACCATTCTGGACATAGGACTTGGCAAAGATTTCATGATGAAGACACCAAAAGCAATTGCAACAAAAACAAAAATTGACAAATGGGACCTAATTAAACTAAAGAGCTTCTGCACAGCAAAAGAAACTATCAACAGAGTAAACAGACAACATACAGAATGGGAGAAAATATTTGCAAACTATGCATCTGACGAAGGTCCAAAGTCTAGAATCGATGAAGAATTTAAACAAATTAACAGGCAAAAAACAACCCCATTAAAAAGTAGGCAAAGGACATAAACACTTTTCAAAAGAAGACATACATGCAGTCAACAAGCATATAAAAAATGCTCAACATCACTAATCATCAGATAAAGGCAAATCAAAACCACAGTGAGATACCATATCATACCAGTCAGATGGCTATTATTAAAAATTCAAAAAATAATAAGATGCTGACAAAGTAGCAGAGAAAAAGGAATACTTAAATACGCTGATGGTGGGAATGTAAATTAGTTCAGTCATTGTGGAAAGCGGTGTGGTGATTTCTCAAAGAACTTAAAACAGAATTACCATACCCAGAAATCCCATTACTGGGTATATGCCCAAAGGAATATAAACTGTTCTACCATAAAGACAATAAGCATGTGTATGTTCATTTCAGCACTATTCACAATAGCAAAGACATGGAATCAACCTAAATGCCCATTAACAATAGACGGGATAAAGAAAATGTGGTACACATATACCATGGAATACTACACAGGCATTAAAAAAGAACAAAATTATGTCCTTTGCAGCAACATGGATGGAGCTGCAGGCCATTATCCTAAGTGAACTAATGCAGAAACAGAAAACCAAATACTGCACGTTCTCAATTATATTTTCGAGCTAAATATTGAGAACACATGGACACAAAGAAGGGAGCAACAGATATTAGGGCCTACTTGAAGGTAGAGGGTGAGAGGAGGAAGAGGATAAAAAAACTACCTATCTGGTACTATGCTTTACCTGGTTGACAAAATAATTTGAATGTCAAACACTCATGACTCACAATTTATATAACAAAGCTGTATATATAACCCTAATCCTAAAATAAAAGTTAAGAAAATGGCTAGAAATAAATCATTCAGCTCAGGAGTATAAAAAAGAGAAACCATCCCCCATTAAAAAAAAAAAAAAAGAGCAAACTTCAAAAAAGAAGAATAAAGTGGAAGTCAAAGATATAAGAAACAAATAAATGATTGAGAAAATGCATAAAGCCAAAAGATGTTCTTAAAAATTTAATGTCAGACCAATGAAAATCAGATTTTTAATAACACGGTTATGAAAAAATACAGAGCAAAATAAGGAAATAACTTTTGACATAAGATTTTTCAATGATGCAAGGGTGTTGTGAACTATATATATAAGGATATTTATGAGCTATAGGCAAATACACCTAAATATGTACCTAAATAAATGGATCAATTCCCAGTGAAGTATAAAAAAAATAAAATGGCAAAATAGATGAAAGACTAATAAAAAATCATATAGACTAGTAAGTACTAAATTAAAATGGTAGCCATGCTCTTCCTCCCTCTCCCTAATCCCAAGGCTCTAAGAGTTTTATAGCTGAGTTCTAGCAAACATGTAATTAACTTAATTACTATTACAATACATAGTTTTCAAAAGTAGAGAGTGAAAATTGCCAACTTATTTTATGTAGCTAGTATAATCTTGGATTCCAAGACCAGATAAGAATGATACAAATAAAATTAAATTACAGGCACATTTGTAAATTTTGTAAATATACAAAAATCCTAAATAAAATATTAGCTAATTAAATTCAGTAATATATCAAATATATGCATCATGATCAGACAGTTTATTATAGGAATGCAAGGATCGTTCAACATGAGAAAAATCTATTAACACAATTCACTATATTAATAGACTATAGAATAAATCCATGATAATCTCAACTGATGCAGAAAAATCAAGTGCTATAAAGTTCAGGAAGTTCAACACCGATGTATTCTCTTAAAAACACTTGTAGCAAACTAGAGGAAAAAAATAAACTCCCTAAAGTGGCAAAGGTTAAATATCAAGAACTTTAAGCTTAATGGAGAAACTTCACATATATTCCCTTTACAATGGTAACAAGAATGACCACCGTCACTGCTGCTTTCAACACAGCACTAGAGATTCTGGCAAATACTATAAGAAAAAGAACTAAGAGCTACAAGAATTAGAAGCAAAAATATAAAATGTCATTATTTGCATAGTTATGGCCATCTACCTAGAAAAAGAGTATACAATAAACTATAAATTAAGAGAGTTCAGCAAAACTATCAGATACAATAAATAGTTTAATGACTCAGCAATCAACTACTAGAAAGTAAGATACCATTCACACCAGAAAAAAAACCCTATCTTAACCAAGAATACAAATAATTATTTGAAGAAAACTTTCACATTCCAATAAAGAAGAAAGATTATCTAAATAAAAGGAGAAGCATGCTTCCACGCTCTTGGATGCAGTAACTTAAATTCAATACATTCCAGTCAAATATTCAGATGGCTATTCTGAGGAACGCAATAGACTTCTGTTCCTTAAAATTGACAAGGAAGGAAATAAGTTGGTAAAGACAAGTAAACCAAACAGGAAGACTACCAGATACTGACATATCACCAAAACTACAGTAGTAAAATCAGAAGAGACAAATAGACCAGTAGAACAGAGCAGAGGGCTCAGAGACTAACCAATGTGCTTCTTTATCTACAAAAACATATTAACAATAGAGGTGGCATTAAAAATCAAAGACAGAGGTAAGGATTATTTACCAGATAGCATTATGAAAACTGATTAACTATATGAGATAAAATAAAACTGGATTCCAACTTAATACCATATACAATGGTTAAGTATATAGATCAAGTAAGTACTTAAATGTTAAGGGGAAAACTATAAAATTAATGAAAAAAGATGGAATTAATGAAAAAAAAGATGGAATTTGAAAACATTTACCACTGTTAAATGAATCCAAGAGCCAGTCCTTTGAGAGGAAAAATATTAATAACAAAGTAGATAAATCACAAGCTAGTTAATCAAAGGGGGGAAAAGGAGCACAAATAGAAAAAAATAAAAATAAGATTAGGGAAATAGCAACTACAACCTTTAAAAATAACTGGAACAAAAGTTTTCTCAAATTCTTTCAAATTTTCAAAGAACAGATTATTTGATGCTATGAAATTATCCCAAGGCATCAAAAACTGTTCAAGGCATCAGAAACGAAAAACTCTTCAAGACGTCAGAAATAAAGTGAAACATAAGGCCAGTAAAATCCAGCAGCACTTGAATTCATAATCTACTACCATATCACTAATTACTTCAACATTTAGTAGCTTAAAACAACAATAATTATTTACTATTTCTTATTTTTTTTTCTGGGTCACAAATTCAGGAGTGGCTTAGCTAGGCAGCTCTGGTTTGGATCTCACAAGATAAGTTGTTGGTTACATCTGCAGTCATCAAAAGGCTTGACTGAGAAGAAGGATTCAATTCCAGGGTGGCTAACTCCCATGGCTGGCAGGCTGGTCTAAATGTTGATGAGAGATCTGTTTTTTCTCCACGTGGTCCTTTCAAGTGGCGGGGGCTATCTGTCAGCATGGTGCAAGTTGCCCAAAAGAAAGTCAAGCAAAAGCTGCATTGTTTTTATGACTTAGCCTTGGAGGTCACATCCTATCACTTCTACTGTACTCCACTGATGAGGCAATCACAAGCCATGGCTGTATTTGAGAGGGGTGGGACACAGACCCCACCTTTCAGTGGAAACAATGTCAGTCACATCATAAGAAGAGCATGAAAACAGCATAAATTGTAAGTGTTGGGAAAAAGCTGAGTGTTGTGAAGGAAACTGAGGCAGGGTTTGCATAATGTCCTTTGGAATGTGTCTAGACTTGCTGGCTCCTTGCTTCTAGCCCTCCTAGGCTCCTATTCCCACTATCTAAAGTAGCAGAACATGTTCCATATAAATGCTAAACTATCGCAGCTGTAAATCATGTGCTTAATGCAACGTGTCCTTTTGACCTCCACATTCTCACCACCTGTTTCTCTGTTGGATTACCAATAAATAGCGTGGGCTCCCAGAGCTTGGGGCCTTCGCAGCCTCCGTACAATAGCGATGGCCCCCTGGTGTTCCCACCTCCTTTTCTCTCTCACTGTCTTTTTCTCAATCCTTTGACTCCGCCGGACTTTGTCACCCCCACGACCTGGTGTTGGGTCTGATCACCCCAACAATAAGTAAGGCCATCTTTGGAAAATTCAATCTGTTATAATACCAAAGCATATTATATCATGGTAAAGTGGTAGTTTATTCCAGAAAGAAAAGGAAGGTTCAAATTAGGAAAGCTATTAACTTTAAGCTTTTATAATAACATCAAATAAGAAAAGCCATATGATTATTGTAATGGATGCCAAAAAGTATACTTATTAAAATTCAACATGCATCCTTCATTTAAAACTACAGACAAAGCATGCAAAACAAAACAAAGCAGAAGACATACAAACATATCTTAAACCCAAAGATAAAGCATTAAAGTCATTCTCATTAAAACTGGAAACTTGACAAGGATACTGCAAGTCCACAACTTTTAAACTACTGTGAAACTACAGCATAATGCAATTAGACAAAATTATCTGTAGAGGATATGACTGCATATCTGAGAGATCCAAGAAAATCAGCTGAAAACTACTGGCAATGATAAGGGAATTCATGATCCCAGAAATTCTGTTACTAGAATTATAAACTAGACATTACACATGTATACCAAAAGATCTGTACAAGAACAGTTAGAGCATAATAAATGCTGTAACAGCAAAAAACTAAAGCAATCCAAAAAGTCCAACAACAAAACAGATAAGTTGTTCATACTATGAAATAGTACACAGCTGTGAAA
Organism: Homo sapiens; assembly: GCF_000001405.40. Taxonomy (NCBI): domain Eukaryota; kingdom Metazoa; phylum Chordata; class Mammalia; order Primates; family Hominidae; genus Homo; species Homo sapiens. The sequence goes on from NC_000011.10 coordinate 7,014,411, forward strand.
ATGAACAGCTACATGAATCAACATCGATGCACTGTAAAATTTAGCATTATGCAAAAGAAGCCATTCATGGAAGAATATATAGTGATTCAATTTTACAATGTTCAAAAATATGCAAAACTAAACAATTGTGTTTAGAAATGTACCTGTAGTTAAAAGCGCAGGAAAAAACAATTAAGGAATAACAACATTTAAGATAGTGGCTGCCCCTTTAGGAGAGGGGTGGGAAAGAAATTCTGGAGTCATCAGAGGGCTTTTACAAGTATATGCTGATTTAGGCTGGGCATGGTGGCTCACACCTATAATCCCAGCACTTTGGGAGGCTGAGGCAGGCAGGTCACTTGAGGCCAGGAGTTCGAGACCAGCCTGGCCAACATGGCGAAACCCTGTCTCTAACAAAAAAAAAAAAAAACAAAAAAAAAACACTACCCAGGAGGTGGAGGTTGCAGTGTGCTGAGATCACGCTACTGGACTCCAGGCTGGGAGAGAAAGCAGTCTGTCTTAAAAAGAAAAAACAGTGTATGCCGAGTTCAATGGTGAGTGTCCGTGTTATTATATTTTAAATTGTACGTATGTTTTCATATATTCTTTTGCTTATAGGAAATACATCATAATAAAGTTCAAATTACATAAAATCTAAGAGTATACAAAAAGAGTTCAGACATATAAATAATAATTAGAATTTTTTTTTTTTTTTTTTTTGAGACAGAGTCTCGCTCTGTTGCCCACGCTGGAGTGCGGTGGCATGATCTCGGCTCACTGCAAGCTCTGCCTAAATGAAATTTATAATAGCAATAAGAATATAAATTCCTAAAAATAAATTTACCAAAAATACCAGAACCTATATAAAGATAGTTTTAGAATTTTGAGTGCTAAAAATAGGGTTGGGGTCGGGTGCGGTGGCTCATGCCTGTAATCCCATCACTTTGGGAGGCCAAGGTGGGCGGATCACTTCAGGTCAGGAGTTCGAGACTAGCCTGGCCAACATGGTGAAACCTTGTCTCTATTAAAGATACAAAAATTAGCCAGATGTGGGGCTCACCCGTGTAATCCCAGCTACTTGGGAGGCTGAGGCATGAGAATCACTTTAACCTGGGAGACAGAGGTTGCAGTGAGCCAAGAGTGTGCCACTGAACTCCAGCCTGGGCAACAGAGCAAGATGACTCTGTCTCAAAACAACAACAAAAACAACAACAACAACAAATAGGCTTGAAAAAACAAGATGACTCTGCTCAGTCTTAGGAGAAATAAATATAATTTTGTTCTAACTAAACTTATCTCTATTTTCAAGCAGATTTAATCAAGATATTAATCTTGATTTTGATGTGGGGTTGGAGGAGCTGTAACAAACTGATTTTCAAATGCTTTTGAAAGAAAACCATTTTGAAAGTGGAATAATGAGGAGAGGCTAATTCAATGGCATATTAAAACTTTAATAAGGACTCTGCAATTCATAACATGGCTTGACATACAAGTAGAGAAGATCAATGGAAACGGGTACAAATCCAGAAATGGACACAAGTACAACAGTGCATTTTACACATGACAAAGGTTACATCAAATTTGTGGGGGAAAGACGGCTTATTCAATCAATGATGTTGGGACAAATGATGACATCTGGCAAAAAAAAAAAATTAAGCTTGATACTCTGTCTCAATTCTTACGTCTTAGTGACTAAAAAGAATTATATCAGATATGCATTATAGTTCAAATAATAGCTAACAATGCAATCAATTGTTAGTTCTTCATGTCCAGCACTGTTCTAAGTTATTTTTACATGTATGATCTTGTTTAACATTCTTAACAGCCCTACACAGCAGCTGTTATTTCTCCACTATAAAGATGAAAGCCTAGCTAAGTGATTCAATCTAGTTCACAGTATTAAGAAGTGACAGACATGCAATAAGCTTAGGTAGTGGATGTAGAGCCTGTACTATGACCAATGTGCTATATTGATTAAACATAATGAAAGGTTAGTATATACTTATTATCTAAAACTTATTATATATATGTTCCTTTTACATCTTTTTGACCAAAATGGAAATCATCAGAATATTATTCTGTGGAAAAAGCCATCCTCTCTCATTTTTATCTTCACTGAGTGAAAAAGAAATGCTACATTCTTCTTCATTGCGTATTAAATGCACTACATATAAAGGGACAACAATAAAAACATTCTGATACCAGTGTAAGAATTGAGAAGAGGCTCCACAAAACAAGACAGCCTCAAAAGTAATCTTTGTATACATATGTGTATGTGTAATTTGTATATGAAAAGGTAGCACCACAGTCAGTAGAGAAGATAAATGTTAGTAGAAAAATTAAATAACCTAAGTAGGAAGTAAAAAGAATGTTTAAATTCTGTCATTTCTCACATCAAAATAAATTCTTGATAGATTTAAAAATTAAATGTTTAAAATAACACAATTAAGAAACAGGAAAATGAAAGCAATTACATATTAAATTTGGAAGTGAAGAAGAGATTTCAAAGCACAGAACTATATAAGTAAAAGAAATGAGATTTCATTTTATGCAAATTTAAAACTTATATAAACAAGTCCTTAAAGTAAAAGGCAAATGATAAACTAGGAGAAATATTTACAGCATATGACAAATGATTTATATGTTTTCCACACAAGAATATCTAATATCAAGTGGAAACAAAAAATTCAGTAGGAAAACAGTGATGTATATCAAAAGGCAATTCATCAAAGAAGGAATATAAAGAGTCAACGAATATATGTGAAAAAGTCAACCCTACTAAGGATTAAAAAGGATGCAAATCAAGGCAAAATTTAAAACTTAATACTCAGTGCTGGCAAAGGCTCAGTAAGATAGAATCATTCATCAAATGGTTGTAGGAGTTCAAGTTCACATAACATTTCTAAAAGAGAACTTCAGTTTTTCAAAAGCCTAAAACATGCTTATATCCTTTGATTCTGTTTTCCTATTTCTCAGAGTATATCTTGAGAAAATAAAAAGACATATACTTAACAAATTATGTATAAGAATATTTATTATAAGATATTTATAACAACAACATATTGGGAAATACTTAAATTTTCCCCAGTAAAAAGCAAACTTAATGGGAGTCCAAGGTGGGCAGATTGCCTGAGCTCAGGAGTTCAAGACCAGCCTGGGCAACACGGTGAAACCCCATCTCTACTAAAAATACAAAAAAATTAGCTGGGCATGGTGGCGTGCACCTGTAGTCCCAGCTATTCGGGAGGCTGAGGCACGAGAATTGCTTGAACCAGGGAGGCTGAGGTTGCAGTGAGCCGAGATTATGCCACTGCACTCCAGTCTGGGCGACAGAGCGAGACTCCGTCTCAAAAAAAAAAAAAGCAAACTTAAATAAAGCATACTATATACCTAGAATGGAACACTATACAGTCATTAAAACTCATGCTACCAAAACATGCTTGGAAAAATGCTCATTATATGTTAAGTGAAAAACGTATACAAATAACAGCTATTCATACATTGAATAAATATTTACTGAGTGCTTAGTATACGCACAGTACACTTCTATATACTGGGAACATTTCCTTCCCTCATGGAGACTATTTGTCATGAGTCAAATTTTTTAATTTAATGTTTTATATATACTAATCTTTTTATATACGTGTGTGCATATACCTAAGTTTATATTTGTACATGTGTATGAACATGTATACATACATATCAGTATTTGTACAGACTAGTGAGTACATATATACAATAAGTATTAAATAAAAGACTACAAGTAAATACACCCAAAGGTCAACAATGGCTGTCAATATGGTTCATGTGAAGAGATGCACAAGAATAAATAACAAATTTAAACATTAATTGCCTTCCACAATGTGGCTTTATACATTCATGTTTCACTTCCCTGTCACTAGCCTGGTTTCCTTATTTGTTCCCTCAAATTGTACCTGAGAGTAAATGATGGCTTTCCTATTTAGAATATCTTCCTACTCATAATTGTTCAAATCTGAGTTTCTGTTGCTGTGTTTTAAGTGCCACTCATTCTGGCACTGTTTAATGTCGATAACTTCAGAAATTATTATTAATCTCATATAGTTTATTACCCCCAATGTTAAGACTTTTTTTTTTTTTTTTTTTTTTTTGAGAGGGAGTCTTCCTCTGTTGCCCAGGTTGGAGTGCAGTGGTGCCATCCTGGCTCACTGCAACTTCAGCCTCCCGGGTTCAAGCAATTCTCCTGCTTCAGCCTCCTGAGTAGCTGGGATTACAGGTGCCTGCCACAATGCCTGGCTAATTTTTGTATTTATAGTAAAGACGAGGTTTCACCATGTGGGCCAGGCTGGTCTCAAACTCCTGACCTCAAGTGATCCGCCCACCTTGGCCTCTCAAAGTGCTGGGATTACAGGCGTGAGCCACCGCGCCTGGCGATGACATTCTTATAATTCTTTATCTCAGAACACCAAGAACAGCATGAATTATACACTAGACTTGAGTGACTGAATGAATGAATGAGTAAATGTTGGGAAAAGACACTGGGTTGGGGCAGGGTCAAGTCTGCACGCTCGAAAATTTCACAGGCAAGCGAGGAACGTTTTCTGTCCAGTCATCCATCCATCCTCATTGCCACCTCCACCACCCATGGAGAATGCAGGGACATTTTGTAAATGAGAAAAGACAATCATCCTCACTTGGGATCAGACTATGAGGGAAACAGTGTACATTCCTTCCTCCTTTGTGTTCCTCTTCTGGGGAAGGGTAGAGTGCTGAGACGGCTGAGCTGAGGAGGAAGGCAGACTGAAAACCTGGGTATGGCTTTAAATTCCCAAATTCATTAAATTTCCCATATACTAACTGGGTATGACGCACACATCTCCTAGCAAGAGGTCCAAAAGAAGCCTATGAATGCTCTTGTTTCCTTTCAACGACCAGAAAGGAGAGCTATGAACACTGGCACCTTGAAATTTATTTCCAACCCTCTAGAAACTTCAAAAGATACAACTCACTTATTTATTGAGATTATTATTACTACTAACAATAATAGGAAAGCACCAGCACACTTAAATAGTATCTATTCTCAAGGTATTTTTCTTATTTTGTTCAGTTTAAGTAGAAAATCATTCCATTGTCCTCCCCTACTTGCTAAACAGGAATACTGGATTTACTATCAGAAAAGTACCTGGAGTCTTAGAGAAGTATCCCAGAACTGGAGCTCCCAGGTCCTGATCAAAGTCTCAACTGTGCCATCAAGCACTTGTAGAACTTTAAAGAGGACCAAACTTATAGATCTCCAAGATCTCAGTTTCCTTACCTGTAAAATGGGGGCATGAGCCTTTGCCACCCCAGTCCTTCCTTGCTGATCAAAGGTAGGTTCCTGGGCAAAGTAATAAGCAATTAGTTAACCCTCTTTCTCTAGGGAAAAAACGTTTCATGCGTGCCCCAAGAGCAGGACAGGTTTGGGCTCCCCCAACGCGTCACGGGCTGCCCAAGTGTAAGCACCAGAGAACCAGACACACGAACGGTTCTCTAGGAGCGGGATCTCCCGGTCTCCGCCACAGACCCGGGGGTCCCCTGCTCCTGCACTGAAGACGCGCGCGGCCTCCGTTGCTTATCCAGATCCCCGGCCAGAACTCTGCCCCGGCACCGAACACCGGGCACCCATACCCCGGGGCCCAAGCTGCTTCTGCCCTCCTCTACTTGCCTTTATTAAGTCTTAACGTGGGAGAGAAGCCGTGATGTACCCATCTACACGGGTGTCTCTGGGGTTTCTAAACCGGAGTAGCTTCTCAGTCCCTGACCCTCGATTTTCTGCCCCTCTTCCTTCAAGCACAGCTCGTCTTGCCCTGTCCGCTTCTGGCTCAGTCCTCCTGAGAGTTCATGTCACTTAACGGAGCCTGTGAGAGTGGACCGGGATGGCCAAAACACTCAGTCCACACAAACAATGGCCGCAGCCCGGCTGGACCGAAACGGAAGTCCCAGGTCTTGGAGTAGACACTCGCAGTGTTTCCATGGATACGGGAGGGGCGGGGCGGGAAGAGAGAGCGCGGGAAAACGTGACTCCTGATTGGCCAGAAGTATCCCGCGCCTCCCGACCTTTGGCCGCTGGCATTCCTGCGCGGGCGGGAGCTGCGGGCGCTCGGGGGATAAGGCGAGGACGCACCAGCATTAATGGAATAGGAGAACTCCCGAAGCTTTTAGGGCCCTGGGAAAGGGGGCGTGGCTGGAAACGGAGCTACTGGCTTCGGAGAATTCTGTGACCCTCACCACCGCGACGACCCCGAGGAAACGCTGTCAGGTCGCCTTTGGTTGGCAAGGCGTGGTTGTCCTCGCTGTCCCGCGCCTTGGCGGAATGGGCACCTCACTAGCCCTGGCACTAGCTAGCATCGCTCTAAACTCAAGGTTAGAGGTTTTCAAATTCCGTCCTATTGTTGCCAGACACCCTCTTCGTTCCTGGTCCAGTGAGGCTTTCCTCCCTCCCGCCTTCTTGCCAAATCCCAGGCTCCTCTGGAGACTCCAGGCAGAGAAGGGAAACGCACAGTGGAGCTGAAATGAAGCCATGAGAAGGAGCCCCTCCTCAGTGTCCTGGGACCACAGAGAGTTGCAAGAGCCTGTTCTATTATTTAGCTGAGTGTGTTATATTAGGAAAATACTTTCGCATCTTTGGGCCCTGTCCTTCAAACTTGGGCTGGATCAGTAATATTCAAACATTTTATTAGGCAAGGAACTTTTGGTAGGATAGTCATTACAAGCAAGGGACTCCTTGGATTCAAATCTGACAACACCACTTACGAGATCTTGGCTGGATTACCTAACCTTTAAGCATCAGCTTAATAGGCGTAATATTGATAGCCAATAATAATAGTAACTATGTAACAGACTTGTTAGATTGAAATGAGTTAGTGTAGTTAAAATGCTTAAACCAGCCCCTTGCACATAGGAAGTAGTCTTGTGAACTATATATTTACAGTTTGGTGTTTAGCAGGGGTGGGTGGCCCAGCGCCTATCTGCTTGAGTTCACCACACAATAAGCTCTTGCATTTTTTATGACTCTGGAGACCACATTTTGAAAATTACTGGGCGTGGGCCTTCCCTGGTTTGAACATTCAGAGAGCATAGCATAGCATTTTAAAAATGTGGGCTTTGTTGTCTGACGGAACTGACATTAAGAGCTGTCAATCATTGTTATCCACTAGGTGGTGGTAAGCAAGTTGTTTAACCGCTCACCCTTAAGTATTTTCACCTGTAAATTGCAATGTATTTATTTATTTATTTTTTATTATACTGTAAGTTTTAGGGTACATGTGCACAACGTCCAGGTCAGGTTTGTTACCTATGTATACATGTGCCATGTTGGTGTGCTGCACCCATTAAATCTGTCTCTGCATTCAGTAATTCAACTATCAATTGCGGCTATTTAAATACATTAAAAAGCAATGTATTTAAATAGCCGCAATTGATAGTTGAATTACTGAATGCAGAGACATTGACCGGTAAGAACGAACACTGGAAGTGGGCTGTTCTGCCACACTGCTTCCAACCTGAGAATATTACCTGAACCTCATTGAACTAACCAAAATTAAAAGAAAAAAAAAAAGCTAAGAGGATCCAGTTTTCAGAGAAACAAAATGTGTATCTGAAGGAATATACCTGCTAAAGGGCAGAGGCCAATATGAATAACAAAGAGCACCAAGTATAGCATACGCAAGACTTTTAGGAATGAATTCTACCCAGTTACAGTTTGGGGTTTAGCAGGGGTGCCCGGCCTAGAGCCTATCTGCCTCCGTCCACCACACAGTGAGCATCTGCATTTTTTATGACTCTGGAAGCTACATTTTGAAAATTATTGGTCATGGACCCTCCCTGGCTTGAATGTGCAGAGACCCAAAGCACCAGCTTTGATGGGGGTCCTGGGAGCAGTCACCAGATGCCTAGAGATGTACCCAGGGTAGGAGTGAAGAAACTGCCTTGCATGGGAAGAGAGGGATAGCCCAAGTTCCTAGTCCAAGATGTTGCAGATTCTTCATAGCAAATAATTGAAGAATCTAAGAATATGACTGTGGCTTGAAGGCATAGAATTTTCCATAATTTTGGTTAATGTCACATAACTAAGAACAAAAATTGGAGTCAAGTCTGACAAGACAGCAAGGGATTTAGGGGCCAAGATCCTGATGAAAAGGGAATCTTTAAGCAGCCAACCTAAAACTTGGTGGTTTTCTCTTCAAACATTAGCAGAATTCTTAAGATGAACAGGGAAAGAAGATAAGAAGAAAGCTGTTGAAGTGCACAGAAAATTTTCAGAAGTCTCATCACAGATCGGAGGAGATAAAGATTATAGTTCAAAACCCATCAAGGAATAGATACCCAACTAGAATTCCTGGAGAGCAAAAGAATAAGAACAGAAGCAAACTGGCAATAAATAGAGATATAGCTGCAATTCAACTTTGAGTCAGCTCCATACCTGACTGGATTGTTATTATCTGCCCCCTCTCTATCTGCCTATGAGAGGAACTCTCTCAGGAGGAATATTATCATTCAGAACTTCTACAGTGTTTCGTATACAATGTCTGATAATTCACCCAAAAATTATAAGGACAGAAAGAAAGACAATAGAAACAAATTCATGGATGACTAAATTATTGAGCCAACAAATATATATTTTAAACATAATGGTGATTAATATGTTCAGTAATGGTGAAGAGTTGACAAGATCAGGAATTTTAATTGAAAATCAAATTAAAATTTTATGAATAAAAATAAAATTGAGAATGTAATAGGTGTGTATGACAGCAGATCAGATCCACCAGAGAAGAGGAAAGAATACGAATACCTGAATGAGAAGATAACCATTTTATATACACATATAAAATTTTAAATATGTTTAAATTTTAATTTTATATATATAAAATCTTAAAATAGGTATTTTAAGATTGATAAAGTATATATTTTATAAAATAAAATTTTAAATATATAATTTTAATTATATTACATATATAAATATATATATCATGTTTAGCTTGGAAATTTTTTATATAAAAACATTTTTATATAAAAACATTTGTACTATAAAATTTTTATTTTATATATGTATAAATCTATTTTTACACAAAAATATATAAGTATAAATATATAAAAATTTATGTATTAATATATAAAATATATTTATATTTATATTAATATATTTTATTTATATTTATATATAAAAATCTCCAAGCTAAAGTGCAGAGAAGAAAGCACAGAAAAGAACATAAGAAATTATATTAGGCCATCTTGCATTGTATAAATAAATAACTTGAGACTGGATAATTTATAAAGAAAACAGGTTTAATCTCACAGTTCTGCAAGCTTTACAGGAAGTACGGTGCTTGCATCTGCTTGGCTTTTGGGGAGGCTTCAAGAAGCTTACAATCATGATGGAAGGTGAAGGGGCTATGGGCATGTCTCACATGGTGGGAGAAGCAGCGAGAGAGGGAGAGTAGGGAGGGAGGTTCCTCACACTTAACCAGATATCATGAGAACTTACTATCACAAGGACATTACCAAGCCATGAGGGACACACCCCCATTACCCAAATACCACCCACCAGGCCCCACCTCCACTGTTAGAGATTACATTTCAACAGGAGATTTCAGTGGGGACAAATATCCAAACTATATCAGAAACATATGAAACACAATGAAACAATGATCTAACATACAAAATTAGAGTCTCAGAAAAGATAAAATGAGCAAAGATCAATATGTGAAGAAATAATAATTTAGAATTTTCCAAGCCTGATGAAAAATACTAATCCACAGTGTATAATTTCATTGTAACTCTCAAATGGTATATTGAAATCCTACAAATATTTCCAGGGATGCTTGGAGCCATGGTTTTGATCCTTGGCCAAACCAGAATAGAATATGCTACATAGGAATTAATGCAGTTTTGTGCTAACGTAGTTTTCCAAAAAATACCAAGAGGGAAATCTGTAACAGCTTGCCAATATTGCTTATAGAAAATTTATTGATTCATGGTTTGCATCTGGTTTCTGTTATGCTATCTTGGTTTCTGCTATTGAACCTGGTCCCATATCCTGGTTTCAGCTACATGACAGGAGTAGTATAAAAGACCCCTACTTGAATGAGCTGTGCCTTCCCTGAAATCAAAATATCTTAGTAGTTCACTTGCTGGCCATAAAGCACAACCTTGTGACTGAGAGAGGTCTCTGGAATCTGTGTGGGTATTGTGGACCTCCTTTCTTACCCCTGCTGCTTTGTGTCCATATCTGTCACAAATCTTTCATGAGTGTGTGTGTGTGCATGCATACAAGTCTATGTTATGCTGTATTTTTATAAATATCTCTAATAAGCTTAGAACATTTGTACATTTTAATGGAAAAAATATGTGAGTAAAATGTGAAAAAAGTATGTATTTCTAATTAAGCATGTTAGCAATTGAATTGGAGGAGAAAAAATGGTCACTTTTTGTATCAAAAGGTATCCTATATGATTTGGTTAAAGAAATACCTGAAAGCATAGAAGAGGAAAAAGATAGAGATGGAAATCATGAAAAAAAGATGATAGGCTTAAATAGTAGATCTATAAGACTTAATATGTAGACACAAAAGTTCTAGAAAAAAAGAAAGAGGAGTTTATAAAAGTGAAGAAACAAATGACTAACAGAATAATAGAAAATGTCTTTGTGTTGAAAATTTTTGAGAAGGCATGAATGTAGACCAAATAACTCATGACATTTCAGTCTGGATTAGTGAATAAAGACACACTAGACATAAAAAGGTATAATTTCTATACTGTGAGGGTAAAGAGAAAAGCTTTTAGGTAAAAAGGGTAAGTTATCTAAAAATAAAAATGACATTGGACTTCTCTTTTGTAATGTTGGAAGCTAAAAAATTGTTCAATAGCAGTATAGACTAGTAGGATAAAGGGGCTTCAATACATCAGCCAAAATATCATCTCTCCCTAATGTAGTGAAATAAATGTTTAAGGATTTTCAAGAATTCAGAGCCTGTATCACTCAGATGTCCCCTGAGTTCACAATTCAAGAAAGTACTCCAAACAAATAACAAACCAAAAACAGAAATACCCCACAAAAAATTATGGACAAGGAAACAGAGAAAGCCAAGATATAAAATAAATAATAAACCAAAAGTTACATGTATAAAGGATGCAATAAATTATTAGTCATTATGCTAAATGTGAATGGACTGAATTTTTCAATAGAAAGAAACTCTCAGAGTCACTCAAGTAACAAAATCCAACCCTATGCTGTTTTCTAGAAACATCTGTGAGGTGAGTAAAAAAAGATACGAGGCAAATGAGCAAAAATGTCAAATAATTGAAGGTTAATTTAAGAACTAAAGAAAGAGATTGGCCTTATATTTTGATAACAGGTACAATTTATGAAGAAGTATAATGCCATCAAACCTGCTAAATACATGGAGCTAAATACATGCATAAATTTGAGTACTTGATTAAAAAAATACAGTTCTATGGGAAAATTCAATATTTGTGTTTCAGAATTAGAACTACAATACAATAAAATAAAGCCACGCACAGATTGAATAGTATAATAATCTGAATTTCAAAGGTATATATAGAAACCTTATAACCCTAGAATTGATAGTATATTTTGTGTACATAGAACATTTACAAAACTGATTATGAGTTTTGCCATCTTCATCCTCAACTGATGAATGTGTTTTTAATTGCTCTGCATAGGCATGGGCAAGGACTTCATGTCTAAAACACCAAAAGCAATGGCAACAAAAGCCAAAATTGACAAATGGGATCTAATTAAACTGAAGAGCTTCTGCACAGCAAAAGAAACTACCATCAGAGTGAACAGGCAACCTACAGAATGGGAGAAAATTTTCGCAACCTACTCATCTGACAAAGGGCTAATATCCGGAATCTACAATGAACTCAAACAAATTTACAAGAAAAAAACAAGTAACCCCATCAAAAAGTGGGCAAAGGATATGAACAGACACTCCTCAAAAGAAGACATTTATGCAGCCAAAAGACACATGAGAAAATGCTCATCATCACTGGCCATCAGAGAAATGCAAATCAAAACCACAGTGAGATACCATCTCACACCAGTTAGAATGGCAATCATTAAAAAGTCAGGAAAAAACAGGTGCTGGAGAGGATGTGGAGAAATAGGAACACTTTTACACTGTTGGTGGGACTGAAAACTAGTTCAACCATTGTGGAAGTCAGTGTGGCGATTCCTCAGGGATCTAGAACTAGAAATACCATTTGACCCAGCCATCCCATTACTGGGTATATACCCAAAGGATTATAAATCATGCTGCTATAAAGACACATGCACACGTATGTTTATTGCAGCACTATTCACAATAGCAAAGACTTGGAACCAACCCAAATGTCCAACAATGATAGACTGGATTAAGAAAATGTGGCACATATACACCATGGGGGGTAGGGGGAGGGGGGAGGGATAGCTTTAGGAGATATACCTAATGCTAAATGGTGAGTTAATGGGTGCAGCACACCAGCATGGCACATGTATACGTATGTAACTAACCTGCACATTATGCACATATACCCTAAAACTTAAAGTATAATAATAATAATAAAAAAGAAAAGAAGCAAAGAGAACTTCCATACCCTTGCCCATCCACACAATGCATTCACACACCTACCTGCATCAGTGCCCCTTTTTAGCTAGAAGCCTGTTCATGTAGTCACTAGTTTCCATCCATTCTTGCTCACATGCCACATGCACCTAACTCCAGTAATTCCCCTCCCTTTCAATGTCAATTTTTCCCTCTATACTATATCCTTCCCATCATCAAGTATGCTGTCATTTCTCTAAAACAAAACAATAAAATTTTCTGGGGCCCTGTTTTAGTTAGTGTAGGCTCTTATAACAAAATACCATAAACTAGATGGTTGACAATGACAGAAACTCACAGTTCTGGGGGTTGGAAGTCCAAGATCAAGGCACCAGCAGATTCAGTTTAGTGAGGGCCACTTCCTGGTTGATTTATGGCTGTCTTCTTGTAGAGTCCTCACATGGCAGAAGGAACCAGGGAGATTTCTGGAACCTCTTTTATAAGGACACCAATTCCATTCATGAAGGCTCTGCCCTCACAACCTAATCATGTCCCAAAGTCTCCACCTCCTAATATCATCAGATTGAGGATTAGGTTTCAGCATATGAATTTGGGAGGACACATGTAGTCTATAGCAGGCCTACTTCCCTCTCAGCTACTGTATCGTTTCTGTCCTTCCTTTTGAGCCAAACTTCTTAGAAAGTAGTCCATTGTCTTCAATTTTTTCTCCTTCCAGTCTTTTTTGGCCTAGTTCAATTAGGTTTCACCCTACCGTCTCACTGAAACTACTGTTTTCAAAGTAACTATTGATCTCAATGTTGCTAAATTCAATGGTCAGTTTTCAGTCTCATCTCGTTCTATCAGCAGAATTTGGCACAATTGATTTCAAGCATTTGGTACAATTAATCTCTCTTTCTACCTTGAAACATTTTCTTCACTTGGAGTTTTAGACAGCACGCTCTTCAGGTTTTTCCTCTCTGGATGTTCTTTTTCATGCTTTTTTGAAAACAATTTTATTACCGCCTCCCAGGTCTGCTCCCTCTCTGTGACTTCTAAACAGTAGAGTGATTCCTCAGGGATCAGTCTTTGAATGTTCTATTCTCACTCCCGGAATGATCTTCCATGGCTTTAAATTCCACCTATAAGCTAGTGACTTCTAGTTTGTATCTACTGCTCAGACTTTGAATTCTAACTCCAAACTCCTTCCTTGTCAATTTGACTTCAATGTTTAATAGGCATCCCAAATTTACCAAAAATGTACTCCTGAAATGCCTCATAAACTTGGTTTTTTAAACAATCTTCTCAATCTCTTTCTTCCAGATTCCCAAGTCAGTATCTTAGATTTGCCTTTGACTCCTTTCTTTTGTCTTACCTCCCAATCTGTTCTGTCAGCAAATTCTTGCAGTTCTATCTTAAAAACCCAGAATATGACTACTTTCAGCACCACGACTGCTACCGGCCTCGCCCTAGACATCATTTTCTCTCATCTGGATTATTATAATAGCCTCTTAACTGGTCTGCTTGCTTCTGCCATTGCTGTACTCCAGGATACTTCATATAGAACCAGGATGATTCTCTTAAAACATAATAGCTATTATTCACTTTGCCCAAAACCCTCAGCTGGCTTCCTAGTTTACTCAGAGTGAAAGCCAAGGAATTACAGTGACATATAGAGCTCTACATGATATCTCTCTTCCTACCTTTCTCATTTCCCCCCATTTCTCTGATTCGTATTCCATTATTTCGCTGCCTTATCCCATATTAGCCATTCTGGACTAATTGTTATTTCTTCAACTTGCCATTCTTGTTTTCACTTTACTCCCTTCTTTCATTAATGAGGTGCTGTTGATTGATTCATTCACTGCTTTAGGTACTGAGAATTAAAAAAATGAATGAAATAAAAATCTTTATCTTTTATGGATCCATTCTCTAGGTGGGAAGGTGTGGAGTAAGGAAAGATCAATACCCACTAAATAAATAAGTAAAATTATTTATTGGGTGAGAGTAAAAATACAAACAAAAGAGTAACTCAAATTTTGTTACTTGTATTTGTGTGTGTGACTGTTAATTTAATTATGCAGCATGAAGAAAAAATGTAAAAGGATACATACCAGAGAATTGATATGTTCAATGTGTATTGTTTATTGGGAGGGATTGATGTAAGTACAGACAGGAAGAAATTAGGGGCCTATAAGGAAGTCTCTCAAACTCTTAGTAAAAATGGAATACTACCACTTTTATTTTACCTTTATGCTTGTGGTAGACAAGCGAAGTGACAAGTTCTTTCAATTTGGCAAAGAAATCCTACAAGCATTTTTACCTTTTTGCAACACAGAGATGTCATTTAAAGTATATTAACAGCAACAAATGAACAAGTACTACAATCACTCATATTTGCAGACCTTTTAGATATTAAAGATCACTTTCACGAGGCATTGCAATAACTTCAAAAGTCCAGGTTTCTTATAAGATCTCTCTGAAGAAATAACACTTCCAAATATAAGTTTATATATAAACGCCTCTATCCTCTTCCACACATTTACCACAGAAGATACAGTGTTCAATATAGGATCTTTGCGCTCAGCAAACCTGTGGGCACACGTCCTTCCAAAACAAAAATAGAACAAGATAATAACAGTATGAATATTTATACGGATATCTTTCATGGGACAGCAAAAATGTTCTATTTCATGGTTTTATGTGCATGTTAGAAACAATTTCAAAACCAAACCTAGAATTTATAGT